>NC_000023.11:83068602-83371632 GCF_000001405.40 Homo sapiens
TGAGCTAATAGGTGGGTCTTAATCTGATAATTTGTTATGCAACAATAGAAAACGAATGCAGCTGATGACTTCAATTCTTACCATCTTTGCTGTTAACTACTCACCAGGAGAAAGGAAGGCAGCAGTTAGTAAAATAGAAGGGAGATAGTTATGAGAGACAAATGCAATCTCACAGTTTCACTGAGGTCCAGTCTTAAGTACTGCTGTATCAATTACCTTATATTATAACAGTTTGCAGCCCTTCATTTGGTCTAGTCAATTTTATTCAGTGGTTTTAAAGTCTCAGTCTCAAGTCAGCAGGCATTTCTAATAACCACATGAAATAACTTCAACAAAATCCTTCACTCAAATTAATTCTCCTGAAACCTACAATAAAGGCTTGTTACCATTTTGAGTAACTATAGCCACCCTTCATTCTCCTTTCTGAAGGTTAAACATCATCTATACACTAATCAATCATCACTACAGAGATTAGTAGAAACATCTGCATGTCAAAATTCAGTTGGTACAATGTTAATAATTATTTCTTGCAAACAATTATTTCAGCCCGAATGTCCCAAGATTAAGCACGTGAAGTGACTCAAAGTTTGCCAAAAGTATCTGATTTTGAGATTTTGTTGTCATTCTTTGCTAGAGTGCTGTCACGATACAATGCTTGCAATATGTTATGTAAAGAATTCATTTAACTTATATAGCACTTTATGGCTGTGGCTAAATATATTGTGAGATCTTTTGTCACTACATATTTCTATTTGTTCATCAAGGTCATATTCACAGGCAGTTTAGCCTGCCTAGAGTATAACTTCAAATCCCTTGGAGCAGGGGCTTTCAACAACTGCATTTCCCAGTTATGGAATTGACTTCCAACTTCTGCTTGTAGAGTATCATCTGTATTGGAATTTTAAACTAAATGTATGACATATCTGCTTACTGATGCAGTCAAATACTCTTTTTTAAATGGCTTTAAAAAAATCTTCCAAAACCATGTGACTTTTTTTTTTCCTCAATGGTAATTCAAGGCACATATAGTGTTGCTGGCTGTTTTCGTCTTTGTTTTTAATAACTTGGAAAAAAGCTACACCTACCCCCAACAACAATTTCTGCGAGTTAGAGACTGGTAATTTTTAAATCTATCATCAAATTGTTTCACTTCATAAGATTACAACGATGTACATGAGATGCACATAAGGCAGCTGTCTTCTACCTTCAACCTCCAGCTCCCATCCTGAAGGCCTGTGGTAGTGAGACGTTCTGCACCTAAGGCCATCTTGTCAAGAAACATTTTGCTGGGTAAATAAGTAAACTACAGTATGTGCTTTCATTGTGCGTTGTTGACTTCTGCAGGTATGATTTAGAAGACATTATTATTAATATCATAGGTGGCTAATGTAAATGATGGAAAAACCATAGGTCAATAATATAATATACACAGCACATATTTATCAAAGCTAGAAAGAGTAGAAAATAGAAAATAGAGTGCAATTTTACTATTAAATTATAGGGCTTAGAAAATATTATGATGCCTGACTACTCTCAAGAAGATTTGTCAACAATTTCTAGGGAACACATCACATCTTGTCAAAATCACAGGCCTTTTAATAAAGAATACGACTAAAAACATAGTCTATGTTATTCAAAAACCCTTATATAAAATGTACACAATAGTTATCTTTTTAAAATTCAGTTCCAGAGAAAATTTCCACCTCCTGGTGACCTGACCCATTTCCTTCTGTCAGCCAATTCATTTTGTCTTCGACTGTGGCTGGCATGACTTTCAGAGCTAAAATATAGCTCAAATACTTTATATTAACTTAGTTATTTGGTATACTTGTTGTAGGAGACCCCCTGAAACTATTGCTACAGAATAAAAGATGAAATGCTCCTGATTATTGTAAATATAAAGTTGCATGCAGGATTGTGTAAAGACAATGCCAGGTTGGACTGCCAGAACAAGCCAACAGCATGTGATGTGCTTCCCCCTGCAGAGAGCCTATGAATGGATGTGCAGTCAGGGAGGTTTCACATCACCAAGATTCCTATCCCAGAAAAGCAGATGTTCATAGCTCTGGGAATGGAATGTGATCCTTGTGGAGAGCCTATAAACGGATGCATGGTGGGGGGTGCCTGTCCATATGGATAAGATAGGGCTATAAACACCCTCATCTTGCCATGGCTCTTCTAGGGTTAAAGCATACTCCTTTCTGAGAATTTCTGGTCTAACTGGTTGTCTAACTTCATGTCCTGTTTCTATGGATTGTTTGTAACCAGCTTTTGCTGCAACTGTTACTGCTGATTAATATCTTGCTAATCATAGGTTATGGAAAGACTGTGTTTCTGTTTTAAGGCTCTGTTAGAAATTACTGATGCACACACTATATTGTAAATTCTTATCTCTGTGTACTGTACTTCTGCATACAGATGTTATGTTAAAGAATTACTTCATCCCTATGTGACCATCTCACCTCATAATCAAATGACCCTAAATCCCTCACTAACCTACCCCTGCCCTCACTAAACTTAATAATAAATGCTGGTATATCCAGTGCATTGTTGGCACCACGGGACCAGAAGGCGGTGACCCCCCGGACCCAGCTTTCACTATCTTGTGTGTGTCTATTATTTGTCAACCTGCCGATCCGCCTGGGAACAAAGAGAGAGCCCCGTTGCATTGCAGGCTGCTGGCCAGATCCCACAATAACTCATGTTCTCTCAGTTTAGCTTTTTGTAAATATTTCAGCATTTACAAACATTTATTAGCCTCTCACACTTTATAAGACTGCTTTTATCCTTTATAAATCCAAAAATGTAAATAGATGATCATCTCATTATTTTGAAATGGTAAGTTGAGAATTAATTGAGGGAGTAGCCATGGGCAGAAGGGAGACTTATACTCTTCCCAAAAGTACCAGAAACTACCCTACTGCATTTTAGCGAATATACCTTAGAGATCTAGACATTTAGAGACATCATTTGATTACTTCATTTATTTTTGTAACAATTGTTCACATGAACTTACTTTCTATGGTCTATCATCTTTTTGATTTCTGTAGTTATTCTTGGACTGAGACAAGTGAGATTCTAAAATCACATGCCTAATTGGACTTTTCAATGTCACTGCCAACAGTTATCTAGTATTTTTTCTTAGTTTTTTTCATATACAGCTTTTTGCCATTATTTCCATTTATCAAGTTTTAGGGAATAGGGATCTCAATGTTTGCAAAGAAAACAAACATTGTTTTAGAATTTTTATTTCTAAAGAAGGCTTTATTTTGGTTCAGACATCTGAAAATAAGTAGAAATCTAGTGAAATATGTTGCATTGACTCATTCATTTGACAATTTTGAGAATCTATATGAGTAAAGCATTGTTCTAGGTGTTGGTGATACAGTAGTAAATTAGAAAAATCAAAGTCTTTACCATCAAAGAACTTGCAGTCTCATGGTGGAAAGAAAATAAATATCTAGATAAATAGATAAATACTTTCTAATAAGAATAAATGCTAAAGAGAAAAATAGCAGGGTAATGAGGTGGACAGCAATGTAGAAAGCTAGTGGAAACGTTAGAATCTTTTGCTAAGGGAATTTGGAAAAGCATCTCAGATAATGTAATATATGAACTCAGAGTTGAAATACGAGGGAGCTTCAAGACATTTATTGAAAATTTGAATAAAGTATAAAAAATAAAAATAAAAACTTTATTTTTCAACATAAGCTCCATCAAGTTCATGACAGTTGTGTAGGTGATGATATCTGCCATTAAATAACTGGGGGTCCTGGGAGTTTAACCATGTCAATATAGTCTTTTTTTCCATTAATAACTGAAGGAAACAGGTGCCATTTAAAGATTTTTAAAGATGAGATAACAAAATGAAGTCAGAAAATGCCAAATCAAGACTGTAAGGTGGATGCCTAATGATTTCCCATTGAAACTCTCATAAAGTTGTCCCTGTTTGGTAAGAGGAATGAGCAGGAACATAGTTGTGGTCAAGAAGGACTCTCTGGTGAAGCTTTCCTGGGCATTTTTCTGCTAAAGTTCTGGCTAACTTTCTCAAAAACACTTGTAATATGCAGATGTTATAGTCCTTTGGCCCTCCAGAAGGAAAAGAAGCAAAATGCCTTGAGCATCCAAAAAAACTGCTGCCATAATCTTTGCTCTTCAATAGCTTACTTTTGCTAAGGGTGGGACACTCCCACCTTTCGGTAACCATTGCTTTGATTGTGCTTTGTCTTCAGGAGTGTATTGGTAAAGTCATGTTTCATCTCTGGTAACAGTTCTTCAAAGAAATATGTCAGGACCTTGATCCCACTTGTTTAAAATTTCCATTGAAAGCTCCATTCTTGTCTGCAGCTAATCTTGTGTGCAATGGTTTTGGCGTTCATTGACTGGAAAGTGTGTTCAACCTTAATTTTTCAGTCAGAATTGTATATGCTGAAGCACTTGAACTGTCTATGGTGTTAGCTATTGTTTCTGCTCTTAAACATTGGTCCTCTTAATTTAGGGCCTGAATAAGATTTTTTTTCTCACAAATTTATATGCATGATCTGCTGCAACAGATTTCACCTTTACCATCATCTCATTCCTTCTAGAAGATGAATTATCCATTTGTAAACTGATAATTTCTTTGGGAGTATTATCCCTATAAACTTTTATTAAAGCATCATTGACTTTAGCATTCTTCCCCATAAGCTTCACCACAAATTTGATATTTGTTCTTGCTTCCGTTTTAGCAGAATTCATGTTGCTCTGATAGAGGACCTTGTCCAACTAATGCCATATCTTTGTTAGTGCTTCAAGCTAGATTCTGATCAGACTTGATATAACAAGTTAGTATGAATTTATTTTGGAGCAAAAATAGTTTGAAATACATGCAGAAATTTTTACATTTAATTTAATTTAATTTAAAGTTCTGGTATACATATGCAGGACATGTAGGTTTGTTATAGGTAAACATATGCCGAGGTAGTTTGCTGAACTTATCAACCCATCACCTAGGTATTAAGTCCCGCATGCATTAGCTATTTTTCCTGATGCTCTCCCTACCCCAATACCCTCCAACAGGCCCCACTGCATATTGTTCTTCTGACTGTGTCCATGTGTTCTTATTGTTCAGCTTCCACTTATAAGTGAGAACACACTGTATTTGTTTTTCTGTTCCAGTGTTCCTTTGTTGAGGATAATGGTTTCCAGCTTCACCTATGTTCTTGCAAAGGACATGATCTTGTTTCTTTTTATGACTGCATAGTATTCCACGATGTATATGTATGATGTTTTCTTTATCCAGTCTATCATTGATGGACATTTGAGTTGATTCCATGTCTTCGCTATTGTGAACAGTGCTGTAACGAACATACTTGTGCATGTATCTTTACAATAGAATGATATATATTCCTTTGGGTATATACCCAGCAATGGGATTGCTGGGTCAAATGATGTTTCTGGTTCTAGTTCTTTGAGGAATATCCACACTGTCTTCCACAATGGTTGAACTAAAAGATGGACTAAAGACTTAAATGTAAAACCCAAAACTATAAAAACTCTAGAAGAAAATGTAGGCAATACTATTCAAGACATAGTCATGGGCAAAGATTTTATGACAAAAAATATTGAAAGCAATTGCTTTTGATATTTTATATCAAATAACAAAACCAAAAATTGACATATGTGATCTAATTAAACTAAAGAGCTCCTGCACAGCAAAAGAAACTATCATCAGAGTGAACAGACAACCTACAGAATGGGAGAAAATTTTTGCAATCTATCCATCTGACAAAGGTCTAATATCCATAATCTACAAGGAACTGAAACAAACTTACAGGAAAAAAAACAACCCCATTAAAAAGTGGGTAAAAGACATGTACAGATACTTCTGAAAAGAAAACTTCTTTGTGGCCAATAAACATATGAAAAAATCTCAACATCACTGATTATTAGAGAAATGGAAATCAAAACCACAATGAGATACCATCTCACGCCAGTTAGAATGGAGAGTACTAAAAAGTAAAGCAACAACAGATGCTGGCAAGGCTGTGGAGAAATAGGAACACTTTTATGCTGTTGGTGGGAATGTAAATTAGTTAAACCATGTGGAAGACAGTGTGGCGATTCCTCATAATTTTTTATAATACACATTTTTCATGAACTTTTTGAAGACCATTAGTATATAACATTAAATACTTGTATATAATTATATGTTCATTCATTGAACAAATAGTTATTAAACTCTTTCTATTGTCAGACACTGTAGAAAAACAAAAGTGAACAAAACACACATGTTCTGTGGGAGTTTATAATTAGTGTGAGATATCAACAAATAATAGATGATAATGAAAAACAGTCTAAATAATGTATTTTATCAACTAAAGTGTGATCATGCCAGAAAAGTATATAATAATGGTAACTTGCCAAGTCATAGAAATGATAATGGAGCTGAAATATGAAGGACAGGTAGGAATTATTTAGAAGCAGAATGGGTAGAAGAAAATTCCAGGCAGAGGAAACAGCATGTGCAAAGGCCTTACATTGGATGAAAGAATGACATACTTGAGAAATCAAAATAAAAGTTATGGTTAATAAGAGAGGGAAATAAATTTCTTGATATAATATGGGGCTGGAGAGGTAGATTGGGTTCATACCATGCAGGGCCTTATAGCAATGTTAAGAATTTTATTCTGTATTCCAAAAACAACTGAGTTCTATCAAAGATTTTAAGGCAAAAGAGTGACAGTTTTACAGGTATTTCTGGAAAGAAAAGTCTAGCTTCTGTAAGAAGAATTGGGTATGGAAAAGTAGATGTGGAGATGCTATTCCAGAAAGTTATTACTATAGTTTTGATCAAGATAATGGTGTCTTGATATTTGATGGCTACAATGGTGGTAGAGATATGGAGAAAAGGCCCATTTCAGTGATATGTGGGAGACAAAATCCACAGAACTAATTGACAGGTTGAGAATGGAAGTGAGAGAAAGGGATTTCTAGGATAATTTCTACATTTCTAGCTTCTCAGTTTAATTGTTGGCAGTGTCATTTGCTAAGATAAAAAATGCTTTTGGATGTGTTTAATTTTATATATGAGTATATTATGTTCATGTATTTATAGAATGCTGTTTGTGATACAGGTATCAACCAAGCATTCCTAACTGCGACCAGTGAAAATACTGCCCCAATGAAGTTGTTCCAAGAAAGTGCTTATGCCATGTGAAACTCCTGCTGTCAAGTCCCTCCTAATCTCATATCTCACAGTGCTTTTATACAAGCTTATATAAGATCTTATACAGAGCTTAGACCAAGATAGTCCCAAATTTGGCTATTTATTTAGCACTTACTCCATGCCACAAAATATTTTAATAATTTTATATGAATTACCCCATACAGTACTCTTATCGATCCAGTGAGAATATTTGTTATACTGTCATAGTTATAGCAAAAATGTATTTTTTCTTATATATAACATCATTGTCAGTTTTCTGTTATCACATTGCTATAAAGAACTACATGAGGCTGGTTAATTTATACAGAAAAGAGGTTTAATTGACTCACAGTTCTGCAGGCTGTACAGGAACCATGGCTGGGGAGGCCTCAGGAAAGGAAGCAAGCACATCTTACCATGACAGGAGAAGGAGGAAGAGAGAGAAGGGGGAGGTGCTACACACTTATAAACAACTAGATCTCATGGGGACACACTCACTATTACAACAACAGCAAGGGGGAAGTCCACCTCCATGAGCCAATCACCTCCCACCTGACCCCTCCTCTGACACTGGGGATTACAATTCAACATAAGATTTGGGTGGAAACACAAATACAAACCATATCACCAATTGATACCTGAGAGCAATTTGATAATAACTTATATGAATGTAAAGTCTGATAACACAAAGTGTTGGTTAAATATAGGGAAACAAGGCATTCTATATATTGCCTGTGGGTGTAAATCTGTATAAACCCTTTGAACAATGTATTTATATAAAACAATATTAACTTCTTTCTTCAAATTATCAATCTTTTAAGACGACCATAGTCATTAGTGAACAGGATTTCTTTAATCTTATTAGGAATAATGTATTTTGTTTTAATTTTTTTTATTATACTTTAAGTTCTAGGGTAAAAGTGCACAACTTGCAGGTTTGTTACATATGTATACATGTGCCATGTTGGTGTGCTGCACCCATTAACTCGTCATTTAGCATTAGGTATATCTCCTAATGCTATTGCTCCCCCCTCCCCCCAGCCTATGACAGGCCCCAGTGTGTGATATTCCCCTTCCTGTGTCCAAGTGTTCCCATTTTTCAATTCCCACCTATGAGTGAGAACATGTGGTGTTTGGTTTTTTGTCCTTGCGATAGTTTGCTGAGAATGATGGTTTCCAACTTCATCCATGTCCCTACAAAGGACATGAACTCATCATTTTTTCTGGCTGCATAGTATTTCATGGTGTATATGTGCCACATTTTCTTAATCCAGTCTATCATTGTTGGATGAAACTTCTTTAAAACAATTATTTTGAATTCTTTGTCAGGCAATACACAGATCTCCATGCCTTTAGAATTGATTACTGGAGATTTATTTTGTTCCTTTGGTAGTTTCATATTTCCTTGATTCTTCTTCAAATTCCTGATAGATATGCATTAGTATCTGTACAGTTGAAGAACCAGCCACATCTTCCAGTCCTTATGAAGTTGCTTCAACAGGAAAACATGTCATCAGCTACAGATTCCGGGTGTCTCTCAAATATTTTCAATGGATATGTATTCTTCACATCTCTCCCTCCTTGGGAAGGAGGCAGTCTCAGGATTGTGCACCTTCTCCCAATCTTTCAGAACCATGCTTAGTGCTAAAAGCCACCCAACCCACTTTCCTAGGTCAGTTTACTGAGATGCTAGGTCTTTAGTTGAAAGTTCCCATTCCTTTTTTCCCTTCTGAAGCAGACATCTCAGGATTTTGTGCCTTCTTCCAGTTCTGCTGAGCTGATCTGACTGCTGAGATATCAGTTGAGAGGTATGGCATCTACTTATAGCAACACTTCAGCTGTGATAGCTGTTGAGATGCATGCCATCTGCTGAAATCTGTGTCAGCTTCTGGGATCTGTGTCAGCTGCTGAAAGGTACATGGTAAGTTGATAACTGTGCCATCTGCTGAAATCCATGCTGTCTGGCAAAATCTGCACTGGCTGCTGAGAACCACACAGTCCACTGGGATCCATGGCAAATTCTGAGAGCTGTGCTATCTACCAGGATGTTCACTGTCAGCTGAGAACTGCAACAGATGTTCGGATCCATGCCATCTGCTGAGTCTGCATCAACTGCTGAGATCTGTGTTAGCTCCTCATAACTGGGACATCATCTGAGAGTATTACCATATTCTGAGAACTGCACCAGCTGCTGAGAGCCACACTGGCTGTTGATATCTATACCATCAGCTGATAGCTATGTTGGTTGCTGATAATTGTACTGTTTGCTGAGGTTCATGCTGTCTGCTAATATCCATGTCCTTTACTGAGATCTACACTAGCTGTTGAAATATGTGCCATAGGCTGAGCTGCACCACTTTCTGAGAAATACTCCCTCTTTGCTCTTAGCTTCCCTGACTCATTCCAATTATGCTGGGTTCCCTCAGTGTTGTAGGTAAGGTGAGATAGAAGCAGTCCTTTTGAGTAGGAATCCATATATCTAGGGATGCTGGATGCATATTTTTCTCTCTAGTTCCCTCAATTCCATGGAAGAAATCACAGGCCAAGGTGATCTCTCTCTACATGGAGCTGTGCCAGATTGGGGTAGGGCATGGTATGGGCAAAGTGGAACTGTTCCTCTTGTCTGTTTCAATGTGGCTGTTCTTAGTCTTTGGCTTCTCTGGGATGCTACAACTTCTTAACTGGATTCTCATGAATGTATTTTTGTCTATACATGCTTATTAAATTGGTGTTTCTCTGAGGGGATCATTGCTGGGACATTCTATTTTTTTATCTTGTTGATATCACTCAATATTTGATTACAGTACACAAATTTCCTTAGTCGATAGTCCAAGGATTATTTTATGACTTTCTTATGAATACAAGTTCAAGAGCCTGGAGAATGCTTTTTCCTGCTCGGTTCTCATTTTCCTTATTTTCACATTTTAAAGGAATGGTAGAATTTATACTACTAGACATCTCATGACTAATTAAATGGGTTAACAATATATAGGAAAAGTTAGCTGAGATGTTCCGGCTTCAACAACTCAAATTTGTACAGTATTATTTTCTGTTGGATTGTACAAATTATTCCAAGCTTTAGTACATTAAATTCTCATATTAAAAACTACCAAATTTACATAGACAACTCTTTCATTATGCCCCTTAATATCTGAGGGATGTTCAGTCACAGCCTCTATTTGTGTGTTTTCACACTGCTATAAGACACTGGTCAAGAATGGGTAATTTATAATGGAAAGAGGTTGAATTGACTCACAGATCAGCATAGCTGGGGAAACTTCAGGAAACTTTTGATCATTCCAGAAGGCAAAGGGAAAGCAAGGCACCTTTCTCACAAGGCATCAGGAAGGAGAAGGAATGCAGGAGGAACTACTAAACATTTATAAAACCATCAGATCTCATGATAACTCACTCATTATCATGAGAATGGCATGAGGGAAAACCGCCTCCATGATTCAATTACCTCCACCTAGTCTCTCCCTTGACACGTGGGGATTATGGGGATTACAATTCAAGATGTGATTTTGGGTGCTGATACAGCCAATCCATATCGCCACCCAAAATAGAAACAAAACAATGCTATTACACAATCCCAAATGCAAAGGATACCAGAAACTGGTATAAAGTATTTCTTTACCTTTACCTTTGTATCAGTTTTGCATATCTGCAAAAAAATTTATCACATGCTTAGTGACTTAAAACTACACCTATTTATTATCTCACAATTCTATAAGCCACAAACCCAGGCATTTTTGACTGAATTATCTTTCTAAGGACATCACAAGACTGAAATTAAGGTGTCCACTAGGCTGTAGTCTTATATGGAGGGTCTGCGAAAATATTTGCTTATAAGCTCATCCATACTGTTGGCAAAAATCCAGAATAAGTTTCTTGGTTTATTGCTGGCTATCAGCCAGCAATTTTTCTCAGCTTCCAGTGGCCATACTCAGGTCCTGTGCTGTGGCCTACTTAAGAACAGAGTTCACAAAGTCATGGTAAATTTTTCTCACACTTGGAATTGCTTTGACTCCCTTTTTTGCCAACAGCTAGAAACAACTTTTTAGAAGGGCTTGTGTGATTACATTAGGCCTATTAAATAAGCTTTCTGATTAATAAGCGATCTGGAAAATCCTTTTTGCTGTGTGTATTAGTCCATTTTTATACTGCCATGAAGAAATACCCAAGACTGTAATTTATAAAGAAAAAGAGGTTTAACGAACTCATAGTTTCACATAGCTGGGGAGGGTTCAAAATCATGGTAGAAGGCAAAGAAGAAGCAAAGTCACCTCTTACATGGCAGCAGGCAAGAGAGTGTGTGCAGGGGAACTGCCCTTTATAAAACCATCAGATTTCTCGAGACTTATCCTCTATCATGAGAACAGCACAGGAAAAACCTGCCCCCATGATTCAATTACCTCACACTGGGTCCCCCTCATGACACATGGAGATTATGAGAGCTACAATTCAAGATGAGATTTGGGTTGGAACACAGCCAAATCATATCACCATGTAATGCAACAGAATCACTAGAGTAATTCCAGAGGTCAAACGCCACAGGGATCAGCTTAGAATTATCTGTACCACATACATATAAATGTTGAGCCTTAGATCCATGCCTAAGGGTCCCTTTTATCTGATACCCTCTTGGTATATTTTGTCTTGTATACCCCTATCCATAATAGGCATTGTTCATTTATGCAGCAAGGCTCATCCTTGCAACAATGAATGATGTTAAGAACATGGAAGCCATGAATTCTACCTCTATTCTGTAGTAGACTATGAAGTCAGTAGTAGACTATGAAGACCATGGTATTCTTTCTTAGAAGCAGGAGTAGATCTTTCAAGACTCTTCAGAGTAGAGCATGCTTAAAACAAACTACCCTTGCTATTGGCAATACAGTCTCCAAGTTATGATGGTTCACCTCAAGATTTTTTAACTTTAACATGGTGCAAAATCAATATACATTCAATAAGCACACTCCTTGTCTTGCAGTAGGGTATATACAGATAAACATTATAAGTTGAAAATACGGTAAGTCATATATTGCAAATATTGCATATTTTGTAGTCCCACTTCTTCCCCTGCTGATAATCTTGTGCATGTCATCATGATGCATACAAATAAGAAAATTATTTCCACACACATTTTCTCATATTGTGCCTTTGCATTTTTTAATTAAGGTATCCAGAGTACCCTATTATTCCATCTTTACAGAATCAATCCTTGTTTCATTAAATGCTGCCTTCTGTGTCTATTCATATCCTTCACCCACTTTTTGATGGAGTTATTTCTTTTTTTTCTTTTTTTTTAAATTTATTTATTTATTTATTATTATTATACTTTAAGCTTTAGGGTACACGTGCACAATGTGCAGGTTAGTTATATATGTATACATGTGCCATGCTGGTGTGCTGCACCCACTAACTCGTTATCTAGCATTAGGTATATCTCCCAATGCTATCCCTCCCCACTCCCCCCACCCCACAACAGTTGCCAGAGTGTGATGTTCCCCTTCCTGTGTCCATGTGATCTCATTGTTCAATTCCCACCTATGAGTGAGAATATGCGGTGTTTGGTTTTTTGTTCTTGCGATAGTTTACTGAGAATGATGATTTCCAATTTCATCCATGTCCCTACAAAGGACATGAACTCATCATTTTTTGTGGCTGCTTAGTATTCCATGGTGTATATGTGCCACATTTTCTTAATCCAGTCTATCATTGTTGGACATTTGGGTTGGTTCCAAGTCTTTGCTATCGTGAATAATGCCACAATAAACATACTTGTGCATGTGTCTTTATAGCAGCATGATTTATAGTCCTTTGGGTATATACCCAGTAATGGGATGGCTGGGTCAAATGGTATTTCTAGTTCTAGATCCCTGAGGAATCGCCACACTGACTTCCACAATGGTTGAACTAGTTTACAGTCCCACCAACAGTGTAAAAGTGTTCCTATTTCTCCACATCCTCTCCAGCACCTGTTGTTTCCTGACTTTTTAATGATTGCCATTCTAACTGGTGTGAAATGGTATCTCATTGTGGTTTTGATTTGGAGTTATTTCTTTGTATCTGGTACATTTGTTTAAGTTCTTTATAGATTCTGGATATTAGCCCTTTGTCAGATGGATAGATTGCAAAAATTTACTCCCATTCTGTAGGTTGCCTGTTCAGTCTGATGATAGTTTCTTTTGCTGTGCAGAAGCTCTTTAGTTTATTTAGATCCACCAATACCATTATTGGGTATATACCCAAAGGATTATAAATCATTCTACTATAAAGACACATGCACACGTATGTTTATTGCAGCACTGTTCACAATAGCAAGGACTTGGAACCAACCAAAATGCCCATCAATGATAGACTGTATAAAGAAAATTTGGCACATATACACCATGGAATACCATGCAGCCATAAAAAAGGATGCGTTCAGGTCCTTTGCAGGGACATGGATGAAGCTGGAAACCATCATTCTCAGCAAACTAACATAGGAACAGAAAACCAAACACCACATGTTCTCACTCATAAGTGGGAGTTGAACAACGAGAACACATGAAGACAGGGAGGGAAACATCACACACTGGGGCCTGTGAGGAGTGGGGGGCTAGGGGAGGGATAGCATTAGGAGAAATACCTGATGTAGATGATGTGTTGATGGGTGCAACAAACCACCATGACACGTGTATGCCTATGTAACAAATCTGCACGTTCTGCACATGTATCCCAAAACTTAAAGTCTAATAATAAAAAAGCTACTGATTTTTGTACATTGATTTTTTATTATGAAACTTCACTAAAATTGTTTATAAGTTCTAGATGGCTTTTGGATAAGATGATGGAGTTTCCTAGGTACACAATTATATAATCGGTCAAGAGACAAACTTTGGCTTCCTCTCTTTCTTTGAATGCCTTTTATTTCTTTCTCTTCCCTGATTGCTTTGGCTAGGTTTTTTGTACTATGTGGAATAGGAATGGTAAGAGCAGGCATCTTTTTCTTGTTCTTTTTCACAAGGGGAATGCTTCAATTTTACCCATGCAGTAAGCTATTGGATGTGGGTTTGCCATAAATGGCTCTTATTATTTTCAAGAATGTTCCTTTGATGCCTGATTTGTTTAGGGTTTATAACATAAAAGGCTGTTGGATTAGGTTGCAAGCCTTTTCTGTGTACATTGAGATGATCATGTGGTTTTTGTTTTTAGTTCTCTTTATGTGATGAATCACATTTATAGGTTTGCATATGTTGAACCAACCTTGCATCCCAGAGATAAAATATACCTGATGGTGGTGGATTAGCTTTTGATATGCTATTGGATTTGGTTTGCTACTACTTTGTTATGGATTTTTTTTGCATCTATATTCATCAAGGATATTGACTCATAGACTATTTTTGTTTTGTCTCTGACATGTTTTGGTATCAGAATAATGCTGGCCTGATAGAATGAGCTAGTGAGGAGTTTATCCTATTCAAATTTTAGGAATAATTGCAGTACGAATGGCACCAGATCTTCTTTGTACATATGCTGACACTTGGATGGGAATCCATCTGGTACAGGGCCTTTTCTTGTTATTAGGTTTTCTGCTATTAATTCAATTTCTGAACTCATTATTTTTGTTTTTAGTGTTTCAGGTTTTCTTGGTTCAATATTGGTAGGTTGTATGTTTCCAGGAATTTATCCATTTCTTCTAGATTTTCCAATTTGTGTGCATAAAAGGGTTTGTGATAGTCTCTGAGAATTTTTTTCGTGTTTCTATGGGGTCTGTGGTAATGTCACCTTTATCACTTGGGATTATGTTTATTTAGTTCTCTCTTTTTTCTTTATTGATGTAGTTAGCAGTTTTATCAGTCTTTTTTGTTCTTTCAAAAAGCAAATTTTGGTTATATTCTTTTTTTTATATATACTTGAAATTTTAGGGTACATGTGCACAACATGCAGGTTAGTTTCATATGTATACATGTGCCATGTTGGTGTGCTGCAACCATTAATTCGTCATTTAACATTAGGTATATCTCCTAATGCTATCTCTCCCCCCTCCCCCCACTCCACAACAGGCCCCAGTGTGTGATGTTCTCCTTCCTGTGTCCAAGTGTTCTCATTGTTCAATTCCCACCTATGAACGAGAACATGTGGTGTTTGGCTTTTTGTCCTTGTGATAGTTTGCTGAGAATGATGGTTTCCAGCTTCATCCATGTCCCTACAAAGGACATGAACTCATCATTTTTTATGGCTGCATAGTATTCCATGGTGTATATGTGCCACATTTTCTTAATCCAGTCTATCATTGTTGGACATTTGGGTTGGTTCCAAGTCTTTGCTATTGTGAATAGTGCCGCAATAAACATACGTGTGCATGTGTCTTTATAGCAGCATGATTTATAATCCTTTGGGTATATACCCAGTAATGGGATGAGTGGGTCAAATGGTATTTCTAGTTCTAGATCCCTGAGGAATCATCACACTGTCTTCCACAATGGTTGAACTAGTTTACAGTCCCACCAACAGTGTAAAAGTGTTCCTATTGTCCACATCCTCTCCAGCACCTGTTGTTTCCTGACTTTTTAATGATCACCATTCTAACTGGTGTGAGATGGTATATCATTGTGGTTTTGATTTGCATTTCTCTGATGGCCAGTGATGATGAACATTTTTTCATGTGTCTGTTGGCTGAATAAATGTCTTCTTTTAAGAAGTGTCTGTTCATATCCTTCACCCACTTTTTGACGGGGTTTTTTTTTTCTTGTAAGTTTGTTTGAGTTCATTGTAGATTCTGGATATTAGCCCTTTGTCAGATGAGTAGATTGCAATAATTTTCTCCCATTCTGTAGGGTGCCTGTTCATTCTGATGGTAGTTTCTTTTGCTGTGCAGAAGCTCTTTAGTTTAATTAGATCCCATTTGTCAATTTTGGCTTTTGTTGCCATTGCTTCTGGTGTTTTAGACATGAAGTCCTTGCCCATGCCTGTGCCCTGAAGGGTATTGCCTAGGTTTTCTTCTAGGGTTTTTATGGTTTCAGGTCTAATGTTTAAGTCTTTAATCCATCCTGAATTAATTTTTGTATAAGGTGTAAGGAAGGGATCCAGTTTCAGCTTTCTACATATGGCTAGCCAGTTTTCCCAGAACCATTTATTAAATAGGGAATCCTTTCCCCATTTCTTGTTTTTGTCAGGTTTGTCAAAGATCAGATGGTTGTAGATATGTGGCATTATTTCTGAGGGCTCTGTTCTGTTCCATTGGTCTATATCTCTGTTTTGGTACCAGTACCATACTGTTTTGGTTACTGTAGCCTTGTAGTATAGTTTGAAGTCAGGTAGCGTGATGCCTCCAGCTTTGTTCTTCTGGCTTAGGATTGACTTGGCAATGTTGGCTCTTTTTTGGTTCCATATGAACTTTAAAGTAGTTTTTTCCAAATCTGTGAAGAAAGTCATTGGTAGCTTGATGGGGATGGCATTGAATCTGTAAATTACCTTGGGCAGTATGGCCATTTTCATGATATTGATTCTTCCTACCCATGAGCATGGATTGTTCCTCTATTTGTTTGTATTCTCTTTATTTCATTGAGCAGTGGTTTGTAGTTCTCCTTGAAGAGGTCCTTCACGTCCTCTTGTAAGTTGAATTCCTAGGTATTTTATTCTCTTTGAAGCAATTGTGAATGGCAGTTCATTCATGATTTGGCTCTCTGTTTGTCTGTTATTGGTGTATAAGAATGCTTGTGATTTTTGCACATTGATTTTGTATCCTGAGACTTTGCTGAAGTTGCCTATCAGCTTAAGGAGATTTTGGGCTGAGATGATGGGGTTTTCTAGATATTCAATCATGTGATCTGCAAACAGGGACAATTTGACTTCCTCTTTTCCTAATTGAATACCCTTTATTTCCTTCTCCTGCCTGATTGCCCTGGCCAGAACTTCCAACACTGTGTTGAATAGGAGTGGTGAGAGAGGGCATGCAGGAGCTGAATTTTTGAAAAGATCAACAGAATTGATAGACTGCTAGCAAGACTAATAAAGAAGAAAAGGGAGAAGAATCAAATAGACACAATAAAAAATGATAAAGGGGATATCACCACCGATCCCACAGAAATACAAACTACCATCAGAGAATACTATAAACACCTCTACACAAATAAACTCGAAAATCTAGAAGAAATGGATACATTCCTCGACACATACATCCTCCCAAGTCTAAACCAGGAAGAAGTTGAATCTCTGAATAGACCAATAACAGGCTCGGAAATTAAGGCAATAATTAATACCTTACCAAACAAAAAAAGTCCAGGACTAGATGGATTCACAGCCGAATTCTACCAGAGGTACACGGAGGAGCTGATACCATTCCTTCTGAAACTATTCCAATTGATAGAAAAAGAGGGAACTCTCCCTGACTCATTTTATGAGGCCAGCATCATTCTGATACCAATGCCTGGCAGAGACACAACAAAAAAAGAGAATTTTAGACCAATATCCCTGATGAACATAGATGCAAAAATCCTCAATAAAATACTGGCAAACTGAATCCAGCAGCACATCCAAAAGCTTATCCACCATGATCTAGTGGGCTTCATCCCTGGGATGCAAGGCTGGTTCAACATACGCAAGTCAATAAACATAATATGGCATATAAACAGAACCAATGACAAAAACCATGTGATTATCTCTGTGGGTGCAGAAAAGGCCTTTGACAAAATTCAACAACCCTTCATATTAACTTCATTGAGAATTCTCAAAACAGCTTTCCACAGTGACTGAACTAATTTGCATTTCCAGCAATTGTGCATAAGCATTCCCTTTTCTCCTCAACCTCACCAGCATCTGTTATGTTTAACTTATTAATAATGGTCATTCTTACTGGCACAACATACTATCTCATTGTGGTTTTGATTTGTATTTATCTGACAATTAGAGACTTTGAGTATTTTTTATATATTTGTTGGCCACTTGTATGTCTTCTTTTGAGAAGTGTTTGTTCATGTGTTTTGCCCACTTTTTGATGGAGTTGATAGTTTTTTGTTTGTTCATTTTTTTTATTATTATACTTTAAGTTTTAGGGTACATGTGCACAACTTGCAGGTTTGTTACATATGTATACATGGGCCATGTTGGTGTGCTGCACCCATTAACTCGTCAATTAGCATTAGGTATATCTCCTAATGCTATCCCTCCCCCCTCCCCCCACTCCACAACATTCCCTGGTGTATGATGTTCCCCTTCCTGTGTCCATGTGTTCTTATTGTTCAATTCCCACCTATGAGTGAGAACATGCAGTGTTTGTTTTTTTGTCCTTGTGATAGTTTGCTGAGAATGATGGTTTCCAGCTTCACCCATATCCCTACAAAGGACACGAACTCTTCATTTTTTATGGCTGCATAGTATTCCATGGTGTATATGTGCCACATTTTCTTAATCCAGTCTATCATTGTTGGACATTTGGGTTGGTTCCAAGTCTTTGCTATTGTGAATAGTGCCACAATAAATATACGTGTGCATGTTATCTTTATAGCAGCATGGTTTATAATTCTTTGGGTATATACCCAGTAATGGGATGGCTGGGTCAAATGGTATTTCTAGTTCTAGATCCCTGAGGAATCGCCACACCAACTTCCAGAATGGTTGAACTAGTTTACAGTCCTACCGACAGTGTAAAAGTGTTCCTATTTCTCCACATCCTCTCCAGTACCTGTTGTTTCCTGACTTTTTAATGATTGCCATTCTAACGGGTGTGAGATGGTATCTCATTGTGGTTTTGATTTGCATTTCTCGGATGGCCAGTGATGGTGAGCATTTTTTCATGTGTTTTTTGGCTGCATAAATGTCTTCTCTTAAGTTTCTTATAGATTCTGGATAGTAGATCTTTGATGAATGCAGTATGCAAAAATTTCCTCCCATTCTGAGGGTTGTTGGTTTACTCTGGTAATATTTTATTTTCCTGCCCAGAAAGTCTTATATTTACTTAGGTCACACTTGTCAAGCTTTGGTTTTGTAACAATTGCTTTTGAGGACTTTGTCATAAATTCTTTCCAAAGGCCAGTGTTTAGAAGGTTATTTTCTAAGTTTGTTTCTAGAATTTCTGTAGTTTGAGATCTTACAGTTAAATATTTAATTCATCTTGAGTTAATTTTTGCACGTGGTAAAAAGTAAAATGTCCCATTTTATTCTTCTGCATATGACTTGGCAGCTATCCCAGAATTATTTATTGAATAGGATGTCTGTTCCCCATTGCTTATTTTTTCTGACTTTGCTGAAGATCAAATAGGTGTAGTTTTCCAACTTCATTTCTGAGTTCGCTTTCCTGTTCCATTAGTCTATGTGTGTTTTTCTAGCAGGATCGTGTTGTTTTGGTTACTGTGGCCTTAAAGTGTTGTTTGAAGTCAGGTAATTTGACACCTCTGGCTTAGTTCTTTTTGCTTAGCTTTGGTTTTGCTATTGTCTTTTTTGTTTCCATGTGAATTTTATAATTTTTCTAATTCTCTGCAAAGTGATGTTGATATATTCATAGGAATAGATTAGAATCTGTAGATTGCTTTTAGGAAATATGGCCATTTTGACAATATTGATTCTTCCAATCCATGAGCAGGAAAGGTTTTTCAGTTGTTTGTGTCATACATGATTTCTTTCAGCAGTGTCTTGTAATTCTCATTTTAGAGATTTTTTACCTCCTTGGTTAGGTGTATTCCTGAGTTTATATTTGTGGATATTGTAAATTTTATTTATTTTATTTATTTTATTTTATTTTATTTTATTTTATTTTATTTTATTTTATTTTATTTCTGAGAAAGATTTTTGCCCTGTCTCTAGGCTGGGGCACAGTGGCGCGATATGGGCTGATTGCAACCTCTGTCTCCTGGGTTCAAGCGATTCTCGTGTCTCCGTCTCTTGTATAGCTGGAATTACAGGTGCCCGCTACCACGCTCAGCTAATTTTTGTATTCTTAGTAGGGACGGGGTTTCACCATGTTGGCTGGACTGGTCTCAAACTCCAGACCTCAGGTGATCCACCTGCCTTGGCCTCCCAAAGTGCTGGAATTACACGCATGAGCCACTGTGCCTGTCCCCTAAAATTTTATTCTTGATTTGGCTCTCAGCCGGAACATTGTTGGTATACAGAAATGCTACTATTTTTTGGCTGGGCACGGTGGCTCAAGTCTGTAATCCCGGCACTTTGGGAGACAAAGGCCAGCTGATCACCTGAGGTCAGGAGTTCAAGGCCAGCCTGGGCAACACGGTGAAACTCCGTCTCTACTAAAAATGCAAAAATTAGCCGGCCATGGTGGTGTGTGCCTGTAATCCCAGTTACTCGGGAGGCTGAGGCAGGAAAATCGCTTGAACCTGGGAGGCAGAGGTTGCAGCGAGCCAAGATCACACCACTGCACTCCAGCCTGGGAGACAGAGTGAGACTCCATCAAAAAAAAAAAAAAAAAAAAAAAAAAGCTGCTATTTTTACATTCATTTTGTATTCTTAAACTTTATTAAAATCATTTATTAGATCCAGGAGCACTTGGTGGGGCCCTTAGGCTTTTCTAAAAGAAAAGAAAAGAATTACATTGACAGTCAAGATAAATAATTTGATTCCTTTTCCAATTTGGATGTCTTTCATTGTTTTCTCTTGCCTGATTGCTTTGGGTAGTACTTTTAATAACATATTGAATAGGTGCGTGATAGGGTGTTTCCTTGTCTTTTTCCTGTTCTTAAGGGAAATGCTTTTAGCTTTTGTCCATTCAGTATGACACTTGTGTGTTTGTCATATGTGGCTGTCATTATTGTGAAGTACGTTCCTTCAATGCCTAGTTTGTTGCAGGTTTTTATCACAAAGGCATGTTGAATTTTAATGAAAGCTTTTTCCACATCTACTGAGATGATCATGATATTTGTTTTTAATTCTGTTTGTATGGTGAAACATGTTTATTGATTTTCATATTTTGAAACAACTTTGCATCCCAGATATAAAGTATCTGGTGGGTTATAAAGATATAAAGATCTTGGTGGGTTAATTGTTTGATGTATTGCTGGATTTGGTTTGCTAGTATTTTGTTGAAAAATTTGAATGTATGTTAATCAGGAATACAAGTCTGTATTTTTCTTTTATTCGTTGAGTTTTTATCAGGTTTTGGTATCAGAATAATGCTCAATTTAGACATTAAGTTAAGGACCCATTCCTCTGCTTAAATTTCTGGAATAATTTCTGTAGAATTTGTCCCATCTCTTCTTTGTACATTTGGCAGAATTCAAATGTGAATCCATGTGGTCTGGGGCTTTTTGGTTTCATATTTTTTTTATTAGTAATTCATTCTTGGAACTCATTATTAGTCTGTTCAGGGTTTTAATTTCCTTTTTATTTAATCTTTGGCAGTGGTATGTTTCCAAGTATTTTACTATTTTCTCTAGATTTACTAGTTTGTGTTCATAGAGGTGTTCATAATTTTCTCCTAGGATCTTTTATATTTCTGGGAGATTATTTGTAATGCCACTTTTGTCATTTACGATTATACATATTTGAACCTTCTCTCTTAAAAAATAATTCAAGTTAAGGCAGTATAAATCATAAGCTTCCAATGAAAAGGATTCACACATTTGTCAGCATTTAGCCATAGGGATATTCATGATGTCTAAATAATGGGTCTTTTGACCACATTTAGTTCACTATAGTTAAGAAACTGTGTTACATTAAAAAGCAATACCAAACTGAGACAAATGGGAGAAATAGGGAAAATGTACAAATTGTTGCCTTTACTGACTGTATTTTTTGCTAAATAATAAATTCTATGCAGAGAGTTGGGAAGATCTGAGTTTGATTCTATTCTTGGCCCTTGGCTAAGTTACCTTAGTCACTTTTTCAGCTAGGTATACCGTATCATCTGTGAAATAAACTGGTTAGACCAAATGTTCTCAAAGGTATTTTCTAAAACTAAAATATTTATATTTCTCCATATATCATCTGTAGAGTTATCCATTTTGTTAGATAGAAATAATAGCACTTTATTATTTTTGTAAATAAATATATGTTTTCGTGAGCAATGTTATAATTTCTATAAGGAGAAAGAATATGGGAAAAAAGTCAAACTTTCCTTCAACGTTATCTTTGTTCTTTTGGCCTCAGAATAATGTTCAAGCTCCATGTCTCTATTATAAGTGCTGGTACAGGTAGACTATTATGTGATTCTGATGATGAAGTTTATAGAAAACATGGCATCTATTTATGCTAAGATGTATTTTGCACTTATAGTGTGTCTGCTACTATACTAAGCACTCAAAAAAATTAATCTCATTTGATGACAGAAAACTTTTAAAGTGCCTAAGACTAAAGTATAGTTAGTAATGAGAAAACTCAGGTTTCAAAAGCTTATGCATCTGTCAAAGATAATACACTACTAGTGGGTCAGGATTTAAAACTAAATCTTCTTGACACTTGAATTATGAGTGTTTTCATGTGTGTGTGTGTGTGTGTGTGTGTGTGTGTGTGTGTACCTCTATGCAATTTAGCACATGTGTATCTTTATATAACCTCCTCCACAATCCAGATACTTAACTCTACCGTTAGTACATGATTCCTGGGTGCTACTCTGTTATAATCGCACCATAAAAACCCCACTTCTCCTTAACCACTGGCAACCACTAATCTGTTCTCCAACTCTACAATTATATTATTTTACAAATGTTAAATAAATGTAATCATGCAATATGTATCCATTCAAGATTGACTTTTTTCACTCAGCATAACTTGAGTTACAAACAAGTTGTTCCATATATCAATGGCTCAATTCCTTTTAATTGCTGAGTAGCATTCCCTAGTATATTACAGTTTGTTTAAATATTCACCTATTGAAGGACATTTGGGTATTTTATAGTTTGGCATTATTACAAATAAAACTGCTATGAATATTTGTGTAAAATATTCCTTATAAGAATACGGTTTTATTTCTCTGGGATATATGCTTAATAGTGCAATTGTTGAGACATTTGGTAAATTCATTTTTAGTTTTAAAACCATTTTGCAGAGTGGCTTTCTACATTTTGACCAGCAATGTATTAGTGACTTAGATTCTTAAAATTCTTTACAAAATTATTTTAGTGTTATCATCGTCTTTTTTTATTTTATTCGTTGTCATAGATATGCACTGATATTTCCTTATGATGGTACCTTGCAATTTCCTAATGGCTAATGATATTGCACATCATTTAATGTGCTTATTTGCTATACATATAAGTTGAATTTTTGATAATTTTATTTTTAATGTTGAGTTTTAATACTTATTTTTATGTTCTAGATAGAAGTCCTTTGTCTGATATGGGAGTATGATAGGAATAATAATGACTACCACTGCCACCCTTCAAAGATGTCCACATACTAATTGCCAGAATCTAAGAATATGTTACGTTAAAGAGCAAGGGAAATTCATATTTGCAGACAGAAGTATAAGTGATAATAATTTTACCTTGAAAAAGGGAGATTATCTTGAATTATCTAAAAAGGCCAAACGTAATCACAAAGATCCTTATAAGTAAAATAGGTAGGCAAAGGAGTCAGAGTCAAAAGAAGAGACATGATTATGGTAATAAAGGTTGCACAGATGCCATTTCTGCCTTTGAACATGGAAGGAGGCCATAAACCAAGAAATTAGAAGAGGCTTTAGAAGCCAGAAAAGACAAAACAAAAAAAATGAAAAAACAACAAAAACAGCAGAACTAAGATTATTAATTTGAGATTATTGCTCTTTTCTAACGTAAGCATTTCGTGGCATAAATTTCTTTCTCAGCACTCCTTTAGCTGCAACTCTCACATTTAAAAATGTATTTAGTTTTCATTTTCATTCAGTTCTATATATTTTTTAGTTTTCTTTTATACTTTCTCTTTGAGTCATAGATTATTTAGACATGTCTTGCTTAATTTCCTAGTACTTGCAGATTTTTCCCATTGTCTTTAGGTTATTAATTTCTACTTTCATTGTTTTGATCAGAAAACATATTCTGTACAATATAAATGTTTTCTGCATTTGTTAAGTTTAGTAGCATGATCAAAAATATGTTCTAGCTTGGTGAATGTTCCACGGGTGCTTGGAAAAGAATGTGTACTTTTCTGTTGTAAAGTGGAGTGTTTTATAAATGTTAATTTGGTTCTGATGGATGTTGGTATTGTCCAGTTCTTCTATACCATTGATGATTTTCTGACTAGTAGTTATACCAATGGCTAGGTGTGAGTTACTGAAGTCTTCATTTCTGGATTTTTAAATTACTGATTTAGCTCTCTCAAATTTTGCTGTATGTATTTTTAAGTGTTTTTTTTTTGGGTGCACACAATTTTAAATTACAATACATTCTTGGTAGATTAATCCTATTATGATTAAATAGTGTATTTTACACCTAGGAAGCTTCTTTGTTTGTTTTATATTAAAATACCCACTCTTTTTGCTAATATGCCTCTTTTAATTTTTTTGCTTTCAACCTATTTATGTCATTGAGATTGCAGTGAGTTTCTTATAGATAGTGTAGAGTTACATCCTGTTTTATTTTTGAATCAACTCTGCCAATCTCTGTCTTTTAATTGGTGGGTTTATACCTTTTACATTCAATGTAATGATTGGTATGTTGCTTCTATGTCTGCAACTTTATTTTGTTTTAAAATTTTTCCCCAGCTGTATTGAAATATAATTAACAATTTTAAGTTGTATAGAATCAAATTACACAATATGATAATTATATATATAATTATATATAATGCAATAATTGCCAAAATCAAATTAATTAATATATTCATCTTATGTTAATATCATAGTTAACATATTCATCCATTTGTATATGTGGTAAGTACATTAAGTTCTACTCTCCTAGAAAAAATTAAGTATACATTATTATTATCAATAGTCATCATGCTGTACATAAGATGTCCAGAAATTATTCATCTTGTAACTAAAAATTTCTACCCTTTGACTAACATTTATAATTTATCCCATACCCAAGCCTTTGGCAGCCACTATTATACTCTCTGCTTCCATGAGTTTGCCTTTATTTTAAGTTCCAAATATAAGTGAGATCATACAGTACTTCTCTTTCTGTGTCTGGCTTATCTTACTTCATATAATGACCTTCAGGTTCATCCATGTTATTGCAAATGGCAGGATT
Source organism: Homo sapiens (assembly GCF_000001405.40). Lineage (NCBI taxonomy): Eukaryota > Metazoa > Chordata > Mammalia > Primates > Hominidae > Homo > Homo sapiens. The sequence goes on from NC_000023.11 coordinate 83,093,896, forward strand.
CCTTGCTCTTTGTAGCCAAATAGTATTCCATTGAATGGGCAAAAGTACTTGTGGTTTCACATCATTAATTTTAAATCATTATAACTAGGCTCTAACACATCTTTATTAATCAAAATAGGAACCATTAAAATCAATACATTTTTTGCCACTGTTAAATAAGTTTGTTTATTGCTGTAGTGTAAAACTCCGTGCTTCAGGATTTGATAAACTCTTGGAAAGCATTTTCTGCATCTTGGTGTTTGTGGAAGCATTTTCCATGCAAAAATTGTCAAGATGCTTGAAGAAGCGGTAGTCAGTTGGCAAGATGTCAGGTGAATATGGCAAATGTAGCAAAATTTTGTAGCCCAATTTGTTCAATTTTTGAAGTACTGGTTGTGCAACGTGTGATCTGGTATTGTCATGGACAAGAATTAAGCCCCTTCTGTTGACTAATGCTGTCTGTAGGACTTGCAGTTTTCAGTACATCTTACTGATTTGCTGAGTATACTTCTCAGATTTAATGGTTTCACCAGGATTCAGAAAGCTGTAGTGGGTCAGATTAGGCGCAGAACCAACAGTGACCATGACCTTTGGTGCAAGTTTGGCTTTGGGAAGTGCTTTGGCTCTTTGTCTCAGTCCAACCACTGAGCTGGTTGTTGCTGGTTGTCATATAAAATCCACTTTTCATCACACATAGTAATCTGATTAAAAAATGGTTTATTGTTGTTGCATAGAATAAAAGAAGATGAGACTTCAAAACGATGATTTTTTATTTTTTCTCAGCTCATGAGACACCCATTTATCGAGCTTCTTCACCTTTCCAATTTGCTTCAAATGCCAAATGACTGTAGAAAGATCAATGTTGACTTCTTCAGCAACTTTTATGTAGTTGTAAGAGGATCAGCTTCGATGATTGTGATCAACTGGTCATTGTCAACTTTCAATGGGCAGTCAGTACACTCCCTATCTTCAAGGATCTCATAGCCTTTGCAAAACTTCTTGAACCACCACTTGTAATGTACGTTGGTTAGCAGTTCCTTACAAGTCAGAAGTTGAATCCCCGAATAGACAAATAACAGGCTCTAAAATTGAGGCAATAATTAAGAGCCTACCAACAAAAAAAAGTCCAGGACCAGATGGATTCACAGCCGAATTCTACCAGAGGTACAAGGAGGAGCTGGTACCATTCCTTCTGAAACTATTCCAATCAATAGAAAAAGAGGGAATCCTCCCTAACCCATTTTTTGAGGCCAGCATCATCCTGATACAAAAGCCTGGCAGAGACACAACAAAAAAAGAGAATTTTAGACCAATATGCCTGATGAACATCGATGCAAAAATCCTCGGTAAAATATTGGCAAACTGAATCCAGCAGCACATCAAAAAGCTTATCCACCATGATCAAGTGGGCTTCATTCCTTGGATGCAAGGCTGGTTCAACATACACAAATCAATAAATGTAATTCATCAGATAAAGAGAACCAAAGACAAAAACCACATGATTATCTCAATAAATGCAGAAAAGGCCTTTGACAAAATTCAACAGCCCTTCATGTTAAAAACTCTCAATAAATTAGGTATTGAATGGACGTATCTCAAAATAATAAGAGCTATTTATGACAAACCCACAGCCAATATCATAGTGAATAGGCAAAAACTGGAAGCATTCCCTTTGAAAACTGGCACAAGACAGGGATGCCCTCTCTCACCATTCCTATTCGACGTAGTGTTGGAAGTTCTGGCCAGGGCAATCAGGCAGGAGAAAGAAAAAAAGGATATTCAAATAGGAAAAGAGGAAGTCAAATTGTCCCTGTTTGCAGATGACATGATAGGATATTTAGAAAACCTCATCGTCTTAGGCCAAAATATCCTTAAGCTGCTAAGCACCTTCAGCAAAGTCTCAGGATACAAAATCAATGTGCAAAAATCACAAGCATTCTTATACACCAATAACAGACAAACAGAGAGCCAAATCATGAGTGAACTCCCATTCACAATTGCTTCAAAGAGAATAAAATACCTAGGAATCCAACTTACAAGGGATGTGAAGGACCTCTTCAAGGAGAACTACAAACCACTGCTCAATGAAATAAAAGAGGATACAAACAAATGGAAGAACACTCCATGCTCATGGATAGGAAGAATCAATATCATGAAAATGGCCATACTGCACAAGGTAATTTATAGATTCAATGCCATCTCCATCAAGCTGCCAATGACTTTCCTCACAGATTTGGAAAAAACTACTTTAAACTTCATATGGGAATAAAAAATAGCCTGCATTGCCAAGACAATCTTAAACCAAAAGAACAAAGCTGGAGGCACCACGCTACCTGACTTCAAACTATACTGCAAGGCTACAGTAACCAAAACAGTATGGTACTGGTGCCAAAACAGAGATATAGACCAATGGAACAGAACAGAGCCCTGAGAAATAATACCACATATCTACAACCATCTGATCTTTGACAAACCTGACAAAAACAAGAAATAGGGAAAGGATTCCCTATTTAATAAATGGTGCTGGGAAAACTAGCTAGCCATATGTAGAAAGCTGAAACTGGATCCCTTCCTTACACCTTATACAAAGATTAATTCAAGAAGGATTAAAGACTTAAATGTTAGACCTGAAACCATAAAAATCCTAGAGGAAAACCTAGGCAATATCATTTAGCACATAGGCATGGGCAAGGACTTCATGTCTAAAACACCAAAAGGAATGGCAACAAATGTCAAAATTGACAAATGGGATCTAATTAAACTAAAGAACTTCTGCATAGTAAAGGAAACTACCATCAGAGTGAACAGGCAACCTACAGAATGGGAGAAAATTTTTGCAATCTACAGATCTGACAAAGGGCTAATATCCGGAATCTACAAAGAACTCAAACAAATTTACAAGAAAAAAACAAACAACCCCATCAAAAAGTGGGCGAAGTATATGAACAGACACTTCTCAAAAGAAGACATTTATGCAACCAACAGACACATGAAAAAATGTTCATCATCACTGGCCATCAGAGAAATGCAAATCAAAACCACAACGAGATACCATCTCATACTAGTTAGAATGGGGATCATTAAAAGGTCAGGAAACAACAGGTGTTGGAGGGGATGTGGACATATAGGAACAGTTTTACACTGTTGGTGGGACTGTAAACTAGTTCAACCATTCTGGAAGACAGTGTGGCAATTCCTCAAGGATATAGAACTAGACTAGAAATACCATTTGTCCCAGCCATCCCATTACTGGGTATATACACAAAGGATTATAAATCAAGCTGCTATAAAGACACATGCACACGTATCTTTATTGCGGCAATCTTCACAATAGCAAAGACTTGGAACCAACCCAAATGTCCAACAATGATAGACTGGATTAAGAAAATGTGGCACATATACACCATGGACTACTATGCAGCCATAAAAAAGGATGAGTTCATGTCCTTTGTAGGGACATGGATGAAGCTGGAAACCATCATTCTCAGCAAACTATCTCAAGGACAAAAAGCCATAAACCACATGTTCTCACTCATAGGTGGGAATTGAACAATGAGAACACTTGAACACAGGAAGGGGAACATCACACACCAGGCCCTGTCATGGGGTGGAGGGAGCAGGGAGGGAAAGCATTAGGAGATATACCTAATGTAAATGACGAGTTAATGGGTGCAGCACACCAACATGACACACGTATACATATGTAACAAACCTGCAAGTTGTGCACGTGTACCCTAGAACTTAAAGTATAATAATAAAAACTGAAAAAATACATATATATATGCAAATCAATAAATGTGATTTATCACATAAGCAGAATTAAAACAAAAACCATAGAATCGACTCCATAGACACAGTAAAAGCTCTTACAAAATTCAAGATTCCTTCATGTTGAAAATTCTCAACAGACTAGTCATCAAAGGAATGTTCTTCAATATAACAAGAGCCGTCTATGAGGATCCACTAGCCAACTTCATACCAAACAGTCAAGAGCTGGAAGCATTTCCCTTAAGAACAGGAATGAAGCGAGGATGCCCACTCTCACCATTCTTTTTCTTTTTTAAAAAAATTTTATTATTATTATACTTTAAGTTCTAGGGTACATGTGCACAACGTGCAGGTTTGTTACATATGTATACATGTGCCATGTTGGTGTGCTGCACCCATGAACTCATCATTTAGCATTAGGTATATCTCCTAATGCTATCTCTCCTCCCTCCCCCCACCCCACAACAGTCCCCGGTGTGTGATGTTCCCCTTCCTGTGTCCAAGTGTTCTCATTGTTCAATTCCCACCTATGAGTGAGAACATGCAGTGTTTGTTTTTTGTCCTTGCAATAGTTTGCTGAGAATGATGGTCTTCAGCTTCAACCATGTCCCTACAAAGGACACGAACTCATCCTTTTTTATGGCTGCATAGTATTCCATGGTGTATATGTGCCACATTTTCTTAATCCAGTCTATCATTGTTGGACATTTGGGTTGGTTCCACATCTTTGCTATTGTGAATGGTGTTGCAATAAACATACGTGTGCATGTGTCTTAATAGCAGCTTGATTTATAATTCTTTGTGTATATACCCAGTACTGGGATGGCTGGGTCAAATGGTATTACTAGTTCTAGATCCCTGAGGAATCACCACACTGACTTCCAGAATGGTTGAACTAGTTTACAGTCCCACCAACAGTGTAAAAGTGTTCCTATTTGTCCACATCCTCTCCAGCACCTGTTGTTTCCTGACTTTTTAATGATCACCATTCTAACTGGTGTGAGATGGTATATCACTGTGGTTTTGATTTGCATTTCTATGATGGCCAGTGATGATGAGCATTTTTCATGTGCTTTTTGGCTGCATAAATGTCTTCTTTTGAGAAGTGTCTGTTCATATCCTTTGCCCACTTTTTGATGGGGTTGTTTGCTTTTTTCTTGTAAATTTGTTTGAGTTCATTGTAGATTCTAGATATTAGCCCTTTGTCAGATGAGTAGGTTGCATCTTATCATTCTTTTTCAACACAGTACTGGATATCCTAGTTAGAGCAAACATGCAAGTAAAAAAAAAAAGGATCCAAATAGAAAAATACATGTATAAGTCAAATTATCTCTCCTTGTGGATATTTCATTCTACATTTCGAGAAACCTAAAGACTCCACCGAGGATTTTAAAAACTGATAAATTACTTCAGTAAATTTACTAGATACAAAGTCAACAAATGATAATCAGTACCATTTTTATATACCAATAACATTCAAGCTGCGATTCAAATCCAGAAGGAAATCCCCTTCACAATAGCCACCAAAAAAGGAAATACGTAGGAATGCATCTAACCAAGGCAGTGAAAGATCTCTACAAGGAGATGTACAAAACACTGCTGAAAGAAATCATGGATGACACAAACAAATGGAAACACATAACATGCTCATGGATTGGAAGTATCATTATCATCAAAATGGCCATAATGCCCAAAGCAATACACAGATTCAACTCTCCCTATCCAACTACCAACTTTGTTTTTCAGAGAATAAAAAAAATATAAAATTCATATGGAAACACAAAGGAGGCTGAATAGCCAAAATAATTCTGAGCAAAAAGATCAAAGCTGGAGGCAACAAATAACCTGACTTCAAACAATACTATAAGGCTATAGTAACCGAAACATCATGGTACTGGTACAAAAATAGTCACGTAGAATAAGAGAATAGGATAGACAATACAGAAATAAAGCCACATACCTACAACAAACTGATATTTGAGAAAGTTGACAAAAGTAAGTACTGGGGAAGACTATTCAATAAAGGGTGCTGAGATTACTGGCTAGCCATATGCGTAAGAAAGAAACTGAACCTCTATTTTTCCCCTATATAAAAAAATTAACTAAATATAAGTTAAAAACTTAAATCTAAGACCTAAAACTATAAAAATTCTAGAAGCAAACGTAGCAAACACCATTATGAACATCAGCCTTGGCAAGGAATTTATGACAAAGTCCCCAAAAGCAATTGCAACAAAAATAAAAATTGAGAAGTGGGACCTAATGAAACTAAAGAGTTTCTGCACAGGAAAAGAAACCACCAACAGAATAGAAAGATAACTTACAGAATGATAGAAAATATTCACAAACAACGCATCTGACAAATGTTTAATATCCAGAATCTATAAGGAAATTAAACTACTGAAAAACCAAAAGAAACAAACAGAAAAATAACCTCATGAAAACTTGGGCAAAAGACATAAACAAGCACTTTTCAATAGAAAACGTACAAGCACATAAGAAACATGTAAAAAATGCTCAAGATCACTAAATCATCAGGGAAATGCAAATCAAAGCAATAATGAGATACCATCTCATTCCAGTCAGAATGGCTATTATTAATAAGAAAAAAAAAACCTATGCTGGTGAGGCTGCAGAGAAAAGGGAACACTTTATTTACTTGGTCAGAATGTAAATTAATTCAGCCACTGTGGAAAGAAGCTGGCAGATTTCTCAACAATCTACCATTTGACCCAACAATCCCTTTTCTGGATACATATCCAAAAGAAAATAAATTGTTCTAACAAAAAGACACATGCACAGGTATGCTCATTGCAGCACCATTCACAAAAGCAAACATATAAAATCAACCTAGTTTCTCATCCATGGTGGACTGCATAAAGAAAATATGGTATATAAACAACATGAAATACTATGCAGCCATTAAACAAAATATATATATATATATATTTTGTAGCAACATGGATGCAGCTAGAAGATAATATTCTAAGTGAATTAATGAAGAAATAGAAAATGAAAAACCACATTTTTTCACTTATGAGTGTGAGTAAAACATTGACAACAGGTGAACATAACAATGGGTACAATAGACACTGGAGACTACAAAAGAGAAAAGGGACAGTGAGGTCAAGGGTGAAAAACTACTTATTCGGTAATACACTTAGTACTTGTTGGTGGGATCATTCATACCCCAAACCTCAGCATCATGCAAAATGTTCATATTTAAAACCTACGTATGTACCCTCAAAACCTAAAATAAAAGTTAAAATTTAGAAAACAGAATATATAGTATATGAACTCAATGGAATACTATTTAGCCATAAAAATGAAAGCCTGCCATTCAGAAAAAACATAATCACTTTATTTTAAGTGAAATAAGCTAGGCATAGAAAGATAAACACTGCACATTACCACTCATATATGGAAGCTATAAAAAGGATCTGATAGATGCAGGGATTATAATAGTGGTTATTTAAGGCTGGAAGTGGGGAAGGGGTATAGAGGATAGGGGGAATTGGTTAGCTGATAAAAATTGGAGTAATACATTTTAGTGTTTTATAACACTTAGGGTGATTACAGTTCATGATAATTTATTGTATATTTTCAAATAGCTAGAAAAGATCATTTTGAATATTCTCAACACATAAAAATAGTAAATTTTTGAAGTAATATTTTGATTTCCCTGACTCAATCATTACGCATTGTACACATGTATTAAAAATTACACTGTACCTCAAATAGGGACAATTAATGTGCCAACTAAAATAATAATAAAAGCTAAATACATAAATAAATTCAACAACAAAAACAACAAAATAGTACATAACTTAAATTTGCCTTAAATTAGGCATGAACAACTTCTTTACCACACGGAATTAACTCTGTTATCTAACATTAAATGGCAAATAATTTATTTGCTATTTTTGTCTTGATGTTTATAATCATCTCAGTTTTCTCATGGAAAATGTTTTTATCTAGTATTAGGGAATTGTGGTGAGTATAATGTAAGAACCACATTGTCAACTGTCATATTAAATTCAAGTATAAACTATTGTATTTAATTCTCATGTATCTAACAATGTAATAAATACTGTAGAAGACACAAAGACACATTGCTATCAATATATTTTTATTTTCAATAGAGATATGATCCTTATGCTAAATGACAAGATGTAAAGAGAATGTTTAAATATATTTTTTTATGGCCAGGCACAGTGGCTCATGCCTGTAATCCCAGCACTTTGGGAGGCCGAGGCGGCTGGATCACTTGAAGTCAGGAGTTCGAGACTAGCCTGGCCAACATGGTGAAACCCTATCTCTACTACAATACAAAAATTAATTGGGCATGGTGGTGTGCACCTGTAACACCAGCTACTCTGGAGGCTGAGGCAGGAGAATTACTTGAACCAGGGAAGCAGAAGTTGCAGTGAGGCGAGATTAAGCGAGACTCCATCTCTAAATAAAATAAAATAAAATAAAATAAAATAAAATAAAATAAAATAAAATAAAATAAAATAAAATAATAAAATAAAAAGAAATATATTTTTAAAAATACCTGAATCAATGGAGATATTCATGTGTCTAAATGAAAAAATTAATTTCATAGAGATGATAATCATCTCCTCTTTAGTGTCCTAAATTAATTGCAATTCCAATTCAAATCATAATAGAATTTACTAGGAAAATTGTTTCTAAACTTTACTTGAAAATGTAGTGTGCAAGAATAGACCAAACAAGTTTGAAGAAAAACAAAAAGTAGAGATATTTTCCTACCAGCTATCCAGATATGTCATAAAGCTATAATTAATTTTTTAAAAAATGGTATTTGCATATGTTTATATTACAAGATTAATGGAACAAACTACAGAGTCCAAAAACATGAATATATTTCTGCATATATACATATATAAATATAGTTATTATCAAAGAGGTGGAATTAGTGACTGGTAGGGAAAAAAGTTCTGTGCAGTATCAAATTTTGGAGTGATTGGCTATCTATATGAAATATACTAAAATTAATTTTTAGCTCACACATCCCACAAAAGTGAATACCATATTTACTGAAGACATCAAAGAAAAAGGTAAAAAGATAGCTCTTTTATTAAAAAGTGCAAGAATATACATATCAAGATAAAGAAGGAGATTTCATGAGTAAGACATAATGAGCACAAACCATAAAAGAAAATATTAATAAATTTGATTACATTTTTACAAAAAAATCTTCATGGAAAAATGTTATAAACAGACTGAAAATGCATGCTAGAATCTAGGATAAAATATTTTCAATCTATAAAACTTAACTTATAGAAACCAATAAGTTAAAGAATATATATGAAAATAAACACATTATGGGTAATTTATAAAGGAAGCAATCTAAATAAGCAGTAAGTGTAAGAAAAGATCAGCTTTACTAATCAGAAAGAAGCAAGTTTATATAACAATCACATATTTGTCCAAACCCATAGTACTGGCAAAATTTAAAAAAATTAACAACACTAAAAGGATGGTAAATTAGTTAACAATTTTGGTGAACAATTTGAAAAAATATCTAATAAACATGAAATCTACATAACCAACAATTCACCAATACCACTCTATGGTACATAAAGAACCTCTATTACATGCGTACAAAGAAAACATATATGTAAATATTTATTGTCACATTTTTTGCCACAGTGGAAATTTGGGGAGAAACTAAAATAAAAATATGGCTTAAAATAATACAGTAAAATATGGTACAGCCACTGAAAAAATTGAAATAGAACCACATGTATCAACATGAATATATCTGAATAACAATACTGAATGAGAAAAGGAATTTCTACAAGAATATATACAATATAATGTAATTGAAGTACGTTATAAAACATAAAAAAACAAATAACATGTGAATACATACACAAAAATATAAATAGCATGGATAGATATAATTCACATCAACTTCAAGATAACAGTTGCCCCTGAAGGAGAAACAAAAGAAAGGAATGGTGAAAAGTAGAAGGGAACTTCAATTGTATTTGTAATGTTTCTTTCTTTAAAAATTGGAAGCAAATATGTGAAAGGTTAACATTTTCTAACATATTTGAAATGGCTAACATATTAGAAAATGTTGAGGGCATCTAGGTGGGTATTGGTTATACTAACCACTGTACTTTTCTGTATGCTTGAAATATTATGTAATTTTTAAAATAAAAAGCACTCGAATTTTGTAGTCAGATAAACTTGAGCTCAATTTGAGAGTTATTAGTTATGCAAGACATTATTTAAATTCATTGAACCTCAACTTCTTTATCAGTAAAATAGCAGTGATCATATCTACCTTGCAGGATGCTGGTGATGAGGAAATAATATGAAGCATGTAAAGTGCCTAGCACAGGGCGAAATATCTAGTAGACATTTAATAAATGTTAAGTATCTTTCTTTTGCATATTTACCAGTACTCTAATTAAGCCATTCTATTAGTGCTACTGGAGACATAGATGCCAATGAACTCAGTTAAAAAATTAAGCTTCCTGCTAGTAATCACTATGTTATTTCCTAAGTGCTTACAAACCATCTGATTGATAATCCATTCTATAGTTTTGTCATAGAGCCAAGCGTATCAAAATTTTCTGAGCGATATTACCAAAATTCATTTTCTTTTTGCCTGTAAAACCTCAAGCCATTTGTCCATTGTTATTCTCCTGGTACTTTTTTCCATCTTCAAGCTTCTATTGTCACTGTCTTTCCTCCATACATCTTTTCACTATTTCTAAAAATCATATCCACATTCTTACACTATAAATTTATCCCACTGAAATTGTTCAGAAAAATATGCCAAAAGTTCTTAAGGAATGTCAAGAAAAAAATTTCAAAAATGCTTTGAGCAATAGCAGCATCTCAGGAAAAACTTTCCAATTTCCCCAGCCTTTTCCTTTGATGAGAACAAGTACTCATTGAACTGGATCAGTCTTGTACATTTTATAAGCTTACAACTTCATTTCTGTGCATGAATTTTCTAAACCCTGTTACATAATAGGATGTTTTACAGCAAAGATTATGTCATCGTCCACTTCATTATCTGTGACTGGGACATAGCAAGTGATGTCTATATGCTGAATAATAAAATGAATGCCCAAGGTTCTTCTTCTCTTAACATAGTTCTTATATTTTTTCTTCACTGCGTGCTCATGAATGAAATACTGATTGGTAAAAAATGCCATAGATATATAACACAATCAGTAGTTTCATGGTAAGAGAGAAGCAATGTGTTAACTGATTTTGCCTCCCTTAGTATTTAAATCAATGCATAAATTTTATACTACATTTTTAATTTGTTTCCATTAAAAAATCTGCAATTGATAGTCCAGACATATTTAGTTTTGTGACAGTTTGAGATCTCTGCTGGATTTGTCTCTTTTCCAACCATCACCTGAGAAGAGCCACCTCTGAAACAGACCTGACTTCAATTCCATTCCAGTTCATCCTAGTTGCTAACTGCTTGACTATCTCCCATTTTCACCAGCTTTTATCTTTTACATTAAATGACTGAATCCATGCTTTCTAGAACTGGGCCTCTAAACATTTTGAAACTTGGTTTGGATACTACCTCTGAGTCTTCCTGCTTTTGGTCATTTTGTATATACTACCTTAGCCAACATAATTCCTAATGCTGGGGCTAATAGCTATTGGCTGCTCACTAATAAATCCATTTGAGGAACATGATTCGAAAGGAGGATCTCATAAACTTCTAGAAGCAATTTTAAAAAGGCAGGCCTCTTGTTGTGTGGTTTATGGGCCCCACCTTCTATAGACTTAGCTTCTCCAACGCCATTGCAGTATCTACTCTGGAAGCAGTTCAGCAGAACCTCAGAGTGTGTGTTATCAAGTAGTTATACGTAAAGGAGAAAAAGCTTTCTGAATGCCTTTCATAGCATGCCTGATAATCATACTGAAAGTACCATGGCAAATGAATGCTACCATTTGTAGCCTTCATCAGATTAAGGAGCCAGTCTAGTTGTGTAAAACACAATTTAATCTCACCAAAGAGGGGTCATGGAAAGATGCTGTTCTTTGACCTAGTTCTAAGAGCATATTTCATCAGATTTAAGAAACGAAGTGGCCCACATTTTTTAGCTTTGCAGTTAGCCAAGCCAATAAACTCTACACCCAATAAAGGCATAACTAGTCTTCAAATCTCATCTCAGCAGCATTCGCAATAATCTGTAATGACACACTTTCATTGTAGGACTGGATGATAAGCTGAAGCCAGTGAGAGGGGCCAGCCATGACCTACTGATAAAAGACAATGGGCTAGCTTAGATTTAGCACATATGCCTACTTTATGATAGATCTGGCCATGTCTCACAAAAGTGACCTATATGGGTCGTCTCTAGTGGCTCTATAAAAAGATGTCACATTGATGTCAGTTCAATTTAATGTTTTATACTCATCTATTCTAGGTCCTCAGCAGAAACTCAAAATATCTGTACTTTGGGTGGAACAGTAAATAGCTGGATACTGCCTACAATTCATACCTTGGAGAATTTTGGACTATCAGAACATTTTGGAGATCAAATTTTATTGCAATAGTTACCAACTTCAACTCCACCAAAAAGCTTGTATCAATAGGACTAGATATAATAGGAAAACCCACAATAGTAGGGTGCTGAGACACATAGAAGTTCCTGTCTGCAGAACTTAATATTAGAGAGCATTTATAACTGTTGATGAATTCTGTCATGCATTGTTCATATCAGCCTTGTTCTTGAGATCACCCTAATTAGAAACCCATAACATTACTTCTTTATCCCTAGTCACCAGAAAACTGAGCTTCCATTCCAACTACTGCTATAGCCATGGCTGAGTTAAAGGGATTGAGAGCCCGTTTGCTTCCCTAGCACATAGAACATGTATGGAACTGACAAGACATTTCATAGCAAGAGTTCCCACCCAGGCTTGTGACTTTCCTTTACACCTGGTGACCAAGGTCCATTGTTAAGGTATATACCTCATCAGGACCATAAGCTCAAATTTTCTGGGAATATTTTCTGGGAATATTTACCAAAACATTGACAATGAGGATACATTAGGCCTTCAACCTCTCCTACTGGGCACCAATGCTCACTCTTGTATAGAAAATTGATGCCTCTACATATGAGTGAGAACATGCAGCATTCGCCTTTCTGTGCTTGGCTTATTTCACTTAACATAATATCATCCAGGCTAATGTATGTTCCTGCAAATGACAGAATTTCATTGTTTTTATATGGCTAAATAGTATTCCATCATGTATATACTTACCACATTTTGTTTATCATTCATCTGTTCATTCTGTTGATTCCACATCTCGCCTATTGTGAATAGTGCTGTAATAAACATGGCAATACAAATATCTCTTTGACATACTGGTTTTCTTTCTTTTGGATATATACCCAGTAGTGAGATTGTTGGATCATATGATAGTTCTATTTTTAGTATTTTTAGGAACTTCCACACGGTTTTTCATAATGGCTATACTAGTTTACATTCCCACCAATCATGTATAAGTTCCTTTTTATTCCACATCCTTGACAACATTTAATCTCATAGAAGTAGGGAGTAGAATAGTGGTTACTAAAGGGTAGGGGGAGTACAGGAAAGACAGGGCTTAGGAGAGGTTGGCTAATGGATACAAAATTATAGCCAGATAAGATCAATAAATTTTAGTGCTTCATAACTTTGTGAGCTTACTATAGTTAGCAATTTATTGTTTTGTTATTTTTTAAGAGTTGTTTTGTTTTGTTCATATAGCTAGAAGCCAGGCACTGTGACTCATGCCTATAATCCCAGCACTTTGGAAGGCCATTATGGGAGGATTGCTTGAGGCAGAGAGTTTGAAACCAGCCTGGGCAACATAGCAAGAGCCTATATCTATGAATAATAATAATAATAATAATAATAATAATAATAAATAATTGCTGGGCATTGTGGCACACACATGTTCTCCTAGCTACTCGGGAGGCTGAGACAGGAGAATTACTTGTTGAGACCAGGATTTCAAGGCTACAGTGACATATGATCATGCCACTGCACTCCAGCCTGGGTGAGAGTGAGCTGTCAAAAAAAAACCGAGATAGAAAGATTTTGAAAGGTCGTAACACATTTGTGAAGTGATGGATTTGCAAATTATTTTGATTTGATCATTACACATTGTACACATGTATCAAAATATCACATGGTGCCCCATAAATCTGTACAATCATTATATGCCAATTAAAAAATTAAAAAGAAAGGATGAGCTATAACTATATTTAGAGCACTGTAGTTCAATTTAGGAATTATACTGGACTGCGTTTTCACTCTTCCTTGGCCCTGTATTATTGGTAATTCCCAAATTTATGCATACTTTTTTTTAAACTATAGCATAACTATTGTAAGTAATTTAATCCATAATAAATAAATTTCAAATAAGTACTGAGGCAAATTGTCCAGGTTTACAGAATTTATATAGATCCATTCACTGTTGTCAGTGCTTGATTCTCAAACAGCAGTTAATTAGCACTCAATTTGAATTGTATTAGCCATGGTGAAAATTCGCAAGGGAAGGAGAAAACACAGCTCTTACACACAACAGCTTTTCATTATAATTACAATTATTTATACTTTCTGATTTTGCTATAAGTAATATATATTATATTTGAAACAGTCTGTATTAATCATTTCTCTTTCTCTTTTATCTGTTTCATTTATTTTCCCTCCTCTCTTCTCTTCTCTCCTCTCCTCTTTCTTCCACCATCCTTCTCTTTCTCTTTTACTTTCCCTCCCCTTCTCTTTCTCCCTTTTTCTGTCTCTTTCTAATTATCCCTTTCTCTCTGCCTCCATTCTTTTCCAGTTTATTTTTCCCTTTCATGATTCTATCAATCTCACTCCATTTCTCTTTATTTTCTTTTCTTGTTCTGTGTGTTTCTTTATTTCTCCCTTTCAACCTTCTTTTCTTTAACTTCCTCTCTCACTCTCCTCCTTCTTTATTTGTCTACATATATTGTTATCCGAAGGTATATCCCTATTTCTCATTTGCTTGTTCTCTCTCTTTCTCTTCATCTCTGCCTCTCTTTTCTTCTAAGTCTTTTCCTATTTGTCTCTTTTTCCCTACTATCTTCCCTCCTCCTTTGTCTTGTTCTACTTTGGTTGTACCTCTGGTGTCCCTTTGTATTTCCTATTTTGTTTGTTTTTTTCTCTTTCATTTTAATTTCTTATGATTTAATTTTACCTTATAGTTTACACAGAATAAATTAAATTTATTTTTAGTTTAGAGTAATATGAATTTTAACACATGTATAGATACATGCAACCACTAACACAGTCAGGATACAGAACAGTTACATTACCTCAAAAAACTCTCAGTTTTTGTCTTTATACTCATGCTATCATGCTATGTGGGGTGTCTGTGTGTGTGTGTGTGGGTGTGTGTGTGTGTATGTGTGTGTATGTATGTGTTGTGTAAAATACATTTTTAAAGCTATGTATTATTTTGAGGTAAGTTTTAGAAAAGATTTACAGCTAAAATCAAATTTCATTTTATATGAATATTTTTTTAACTCCAATGATGAAAAGACTATATTTTATTCATTGAATTACTTTTGTATCTTTGTCAAAAATAAATTGGACTTATTTGTATGGGTTAATTTCTAGACTTTTAATCTGTTCAATTTGCCCGTGTGTGTGCCCCTTCACCAACAGCAA
Source organism: Homo sapiens (assembly GCF_000001405.40). Lineage (NCBI taxonomy): Eukaryota > Metazoa > Chordata > Mammalia > Primates > Hominidae > Homo > Homo sapiens. The sequence goes on from NC_000023.11 coordinate 83,109,346, forward strand.
ACAGTATTGATAAGTTTTATTTTATAAAAAGTCTTAAAAGAAAATAATGTGTGACCTCCAACTCTATTCTTTTTTTCAGTGCTATTCTGATTATTCTAATTTCCTTGCCTTTCAAAATAATTTTTAAAATAAGCTAATTCATATGTAAACAAAAATTCTGCTGTAATTAAGATTTGGATTACATTATATTTAAGATCAATTTGAAGAGACTTAACATGCTATCTATATTGACGTGTCCAATCCATGAACACAGTTTATGTGCTTATTTATTTACAAATTACTTATTTCATTCATCAGCATTGCAGAGTTTGCAGCGTACAGAAAATGCATGTGTTTTGTTATATTTATACCTAAGTATGTCTTTGTGTTTGTTTTAGAGCTATTGTAATGGTTCTTATTTTTAATTTGCTAACATAATAAAACACAACTCTATTTTAGTTTTAGTTTTTGCTTTTCTGTAGAGATAGAATCTATCTTGCCCAGGCTGGTCTCAAACTCCTGGCTTCAGGCAATCCTCCTACCATGGCCTCCCAAACTCTGGAATTACAGGTATAAGCCACTGTGCCAGGCCACACAAGGGATTTTTACAGGTTGGTCTTGTAACTTCTGACCTTAGGATACTCACATATTGGTTATAAGAAATTTTTTATATTCCTTGAAATTTTCTATGTAGACAATTCTGCAAATCAAATATGATCTGCAAATATAGATAGTTTCATATAATTCTTTCAAATCTGTACACATTTTATTTCTTTTCCTTGCCTTGTTACACTGGCTAGGACTTCTAATAAAATGTTTAATAGTTGTGTGAGAATGGACATTCTTACTTTGTTCCAAATTTTAGGGATATAACATTTAGTCTTAGTCTTTAACTAAAAAGTGCTGTTAGCTACAGCTTTTTGTAAATGCCTTATCAGATCGAGAAAGTTTTCTTATATTACTAGTGAATTGAAAGTTTTTGTCTGGAATGCTTGTTGAATGGCATCAAATGCTTTTTCTACATGAATCAGTATCATCATTTAACCATTGTTATTTAATATCTTAATATAGTGGATCACGATGATTGATATTTGCATATTAAACAAGACATATTCCTGGCTTACACCTCAATTTGCTTTTGTTTATTATTTTATATAAATATTGCTAGGTTATAATTGCTACTCTTTTATTGAGAAGTTTTGAATCTATGTCTGTGAAAGGTGTTGGTCAATTTCTTTTTTTTTTTCCTACACATTCATTCTATGGTTTTGCTACCAGAAAAGGGGTCTCGTCTCAGACCCCAAAAGCTAGTTCTTGGATTTCATACAGTAAGAATTCATGGTGAGTCACAGAGCATAGTAAAGTGAAAACAGTTTATTAGCGACTCCTCTATTACAGAAAAGGGCACCCTCACAAAGCAAAAGGAGGAATGCCCTTACCTTAAATGTAGTGTTAGTTTATGCATGTTTTTAAGAACAGTGTTCTTTATTACAAAAGCTTGTGATCAGCTTGTGACAAGCTATTAGTATTGTTATTTTTCTGTTACTTTTGATTTCAGCAAGAATGTATGAGTGTACTATTATCTTTAATGCAAAATCTATTCTTAAAATAAAAAACGCTATTTGTTCTTAAAATATTGGGACATTTTCATAAGTCCTGGGTCTTTATTTAGTTAGTGTATTAGTCAAGGTTCCCTAAAGGGATGGAACTAATTGGATAGATGAACATATGAAGTGGAATTTATTAAGAGAATTGACTCACACAATCACAACGTGAAATCCCACAATAGGTCGTCTGCAAGCTGAGGAGCCAGGAAGCCAGTCCAAGTCCTAAAACCTCAAAAGTAGGGAAGCCGATAGTGCAGCCTTCAGTCTGTGGCCAAAGGCCTGAGAGCTCCTGGCAAAATCACTGGTGTAAATCCAAGAGTCCAAAAGCTGAAGAACTTGGAGTCTGATGTTCGAGGGCAGGAAACATCTAGCACAAGAGAAAGATGGAGGCCGGAAGACTCAGCCAGTCTAATCCTTCTATGTTCTTCTGCCTGCTTTTATTCTAGCCACACTGGCAGCTGATTAGATTGTGCCCACCCAAATTGAGGGTGGGTCTGCCTTTCCCAGTCCACTGACTCAAATGTTAATCTCCTTTGGCAGCAGCCTCACCGATATGCCCAGGAACAATACTTTGCATCCTTCAATTCGATCAAGTTGACACTCAATATTAACTATCACAGTTAGCATCATTAACTTATTCCCTCAACCATAAACATTTTGAGACCAACAGTGTCCAACCCCTTGGGAATGTAACCCAACAGATTTGGCCTTATCCAGCCTTTATTTAAGATTGGGTCACTCTAGTTAGGACGCCTCTGACTGTTTCGTCGTCGGCTAATAGTGAATTATAAAATAAATTGGAATGGCACTTTCTCCTTTATTTTTTTGAAGAGATTATGTAGATTTCGAATTATTTCTTGATTCAATATTTAGTAGAATTTGCCAATAACACCAATTGGGCCTGAAGTTCTCTTTGTAGGAAGGTTTTAAACTACGAAGTCCATTTTTAATAGACACAAGACAATTTCAGGACATTTATCTATTTGTTAGTGGATGAGCTTTTAGCTTCAAGAAATTGGACCAGCTCATCAAAGTTGCTGGATTTATATGCATGTAATTATTTGTAGCATTCTCTCATTACTCTTTTAATGTCTGTTGGGTCTATAAGTGAATACTCATTGTATTTTCATTTAGTATAAAATATTTTTAATTTTCCTTGAGACTTTAATTTAACCCACAGATTATTTAGAAGTGCATTGTTTAATTTCCAGGTATTGGAAATTTATCATCTATCATTCTGTTATGGATGTCTGATTTATATTCCACATAGTCGGACAACATATTCTGTATGACAGAAGTTCTTTTATATTCATCAAGATTTGTTTTATAACCCATGGCATAGTCTTTTTTGGTGAAGACTACATGGACGCTTGAAAGAAATTTGTATTCTGCTATTGTTGAGTAGAAGGTTCTATAAATGTCATTTATATCCTCTTTATTAATGGTGTTGTTCAGTTTTTCTACATCTTTGTTGATTTTTTTTCTTTCTAGACGTTTTATGAATTTCTGAGTTGGTTAACACCTATCAATTTCCATTTCTCCTTTCTCTATTTTCTATTTCTCTTTTCAGTTCTATCAATTTTTTGCTTTAGATATTTTAAGCATTTTTTTGCTTTATATATTTTATATATTGTTAAGTGCATGTACCTTTAGAATTACTATGTTATGCCTTCTTGATGAAGTGACCCTTTTGTAACTATGTGATGTTCCTTTTGATATATAGTATTTTCCTTGCTCTGAAATTTACTATGTTTGATAGTGCCATTCAAGTTTTCTTTAAATTAGTTTGGATGAGAAATATTTTTATCCTGTTTCCTTTAAAGGACCTATGTCATTATAGCAAAGGAAGTTTCTTTGTAGATACCATATGATTTAGTCTTTTTAAAAAATACACTCAAACCATCTCTGTCTTTTTAATGGTATATTTGGACCGTCTACCTTTAATGTTAAGTATTGCTAATGTTTGAATGTTAGAGTTTTTGTTATAGTCCTATACTCCTCCATGGGTCTTTTAATTTTTGTTAGTCTTTAGGCGGAATATTTTTTTGATTTTTCAAGTGTGTCAACTTTTTCCTCGGTCATTTCCATTCTGTTATTAATCTAATATAGTAAGTTTTATATTTTGGTTTTTGGATTTTTCATTTGCCTAATTTTTATCTGGATCTTCTTTGCATCTCTTACTTTGCTGATACTTTCTATTTTACCATTTGATTGAAAAGAGCCATTACTTTTTGGAATATAATTATATAATAGCTGCTTTTAAGTCTGAATTTTTGATAATTATAACATATATATCATTTTTGGATTTATATCTGCTAATTATCAGTTCCCTTGAAAGACGTAACTTCCTGATTCTTTATATGCCATGTATTGTTGGATTATTTCTTGTATTTTTAGACATTATATTATGAGACTTAGGTCTTGTTTAAATTCTGAGTGGAATTTTGATTTTCCTTTTGTTTTGTATTAGAAGCAATTGACTTAATGAGGGTCAAGGCACAATTTTCTACCCACATTCTGTGGGCTTTTTTTCAAATGTCACTACAGTTTTCACAGACTCTATAGCACTTTCAATCTGTACAGTGTGTTTGACCCTTTAGGCCCTGAATTTTGAATCCTAAGGAGAAACTTGATTTCTTTTTTTGCTTTGTTTGCTTTAGTAGGCAATAAACTTGGTCTACTCTGTAAATTCCTACATGTCCTCTGTGGTCTGTGAATCAAATATCATCATTTCAGTTTATATAACCTTTATAATGTTATTTGGATGAGTCTTGCATGTGTACCACCAAGTACCTCTTCTGTAACCTTAGTGGTAGTTTCTTCTGGAGATCAATTTTTAAAGCCATTGGTGTGATGTGTAAGATAGATCCATGCATGTGATCCTTAGAGATGACCCCAGGTATACATATACCACTTTATGAAATTGCTTATTATTTTCATCATCTCCATGATTTCTCCCGCACTTTATAGTTTCCTGAATACGCTCCTGGTATTTTTTGCCAGAAATCCAAGGCCTTAGTTTCTTTACTCTGCTATACATATTTCACCACTGTGGCTGCATTCCAGGGAAAGCAGTTAGTAGACATAGAAACCAAATATAATTGGGATACACCACACATTCTGGGGACAACAACTTCTTCAGTCACAGAGAAAGACTCTTTTATCTCTGAGAGTTTTAGACATCTACCCAGCCCAAACTACCACTTTGACACAACAGCATTACCTGGGTGTTGGAATAAGACTGAAGAGACAAAATAACTAAAGGAATTTTCCCAAGGTTCTTTGAAACTTAGACACTCCCTTTCCTGTACATCAGAGCAAATAGAAAGGCATTCTTCTAAAGTTCTTTTTGTCTGCACCCAGTATGGTAGTCTAGATTTTGAACTGTCTTTTAGACCAGTCAGTCAATACTGGGATAAGTGGTGTGGCATAGGAAACTTACCTCTGTTTTGGTGGTATATCAAATTCTGATCTATTTCTCCAATTTTCCTATTATCATTTACTTTTTAGAATCCTTGGATAGTTGCATTCAGTGGGAGAGAGAGGAAGGAGTGTGCTCACCCCATCTCTTCTGATCCAAACCCAACTCTCTTTTAATCTCTTTCTCAGATTTTATGTTTCTTTCTTTCATGACTCCTTTCTCTTTGCATATGTTCATTAGTTTTTATATTTTTCACCCTTTCTCACTCTCTCCATTTTCTTCCATCTCCCCATATCACTTTCTGTAGTTGTATCTGTGCCTTATTTTGTTCTGTTTTGCTCTCTCCATAACATTTTTTCTTCTCTGTTTTTCTCTATCTCTGCTTCAGTTTCCTCCTGTCCATTTCACTTTCTTTACTTCTCTCTACCTTTGCCAACTTTCTTCTTTGTCTCTCTCTGTCATTCCCTTTTCAAATAAAATATTTATTTCTTTTAGAGGAGCTCCTACAACAGTAATTCTCTTTTCAAATAAAAGTGCCACAAGAGTATTTATTTTCCAGTGGATTTCTAAGAAATGGTGACAAATATTATGAAAGTAAAGGTAATTATCTTAACTAGAATTTTTGCACATTTTAATGCAATATTAAACTTTAGAATTTTTAATTTGAAATATTTTAACTAAAAATCCTTTTTCCAAAGTGTAATTACTTGAAAACTTGATTTTTCAACAGATGTTTACTGATTACTACTATATGTGCAGCACTGTAAAATATTCTAAATTGCAAAAGACATACTCTCTGGCATTAAAAAACTTACAGCCCAGTAAAACAAATAAAATGTCAGATTTTTAAAACATTTTAATGCAGTTCTGCAGAGCATAAATTATACACATTGAAAGGCAAAATAAAAGCCAACCGTTGTGCAAATAAGAAAACCAATTCTAAGACCTTACTGGTTGTCTTCATGGGATTTCCTTATCACAGTTAACAAAAGTGTTCTTTGCAAGTGGCAAGAACAATTTAGACGTCAGATTTGCAAGTATTGTTTGTGGTATTATAATTAGCACTGTGTCAAGAGACTAATTTATAATAAGCGCCTAAATTTTCACTTACTTGTCTCTTCAAATCTGAAAACAAGTAAACTTATTTCCACCCTCAGGTTCAGCCTTACCCATTACACCAGAAAAACAATACAACACAAAACTGTCCTTAGAAGGTGAAATATCAGTAATTCACTGTCTCATCACTAGATAATCTCATTTCTGTTATCAATTGCTCAATCCCAATATAAACATACAGCAGTTTATACTTGTTAATCCACACCCTTATGAGAAACAGTTCTATCAACGGGGGTCCAGTACTTGTGGCAGAGTTTCTTTTGCATTTACTCTGATGTTTTTCAGTGAAAACACTGTTCTACAAAATTACTTAGGTCAACATTTATCTCATACCTTCTTCAATGAGTTTATCTCATACACTGGTAATGCAATTAGAATTTTTCATCACAGCTTGGATTCCATTCTGGTATTCCTCCAATATCTTGATTGATACACTTTTTAAAAAATTTAAATAGTTATGGTTGATCCTTTGTGCTGTAAAGGTTTATGGGTTTTGACAAATGCATAGATTTTTGTATTCACCATTACTCTGTTATGCAAAATTTATTTAAATTTTGTTAAACTTGTTAAATATATCAATAGTTTCTTTTTTTCTATCAAATAATATGTGATTTTATAATTGTACCACAGTTTGTTTCTCCCTTGATCTGTTAAAGAATATCTTGGTTGTTTTCACAGTTTGACAACTATAAACAAAGCTACTATAATCCATTTGCATACAAGTACTAGTGTAAATGTAATTCTTCTAATCAGTTGTGTAAATACCTAGGAACATGACTCCTGGGTCATGTGATAATACTATCTTTAACTTTGTTGGACACTGCCGAAGTCTCTAACAAGTGGTAGAATTTCTGTTCTCTGCATCCTCAGTAGCAACTGATATTGTCAGCTTTGTGGATTTTAGCCATTCTAATAGGGGTGTAGTGTTAGTTCATAACTACTGATAGGTGTTCAATAGTATTTTTTGCTGGTGAAGAGTCTTGCCTCCATGCTGATGACTACTGACTGATGAGAGTGGTGGTTGCTGAAGTTTGGGATGGCTCTGGCAATTTCTTAAAATAAGGCAATGATGGACTTTTCCACATCTATTGACTTATTTTTATGAAAAGATTTATCTGCAGGATGAGATGATGTTTCGTATCATTTTACTCATAGTAGAACTTCTTTCAAAATTGGTGTCAATTTTCTCAAACTCTGTCACTGCATTACCAACTAGGTTTGTATCATATTCTTTTTTTCCACACATTATATTTTTATTAATTGCTTGATACATCTTTATAGTGCCTTTTTAAAATTATACTTTAAGTTCTAGTATACATGTGCAGAATGTGCAGGTTTGTTATATAGGTATACATGTGCCATGGTGGTTTTCTGCACCCATCAATCCATCATCTACATTAGGTATTTCTCCTAATGCTATCCCTCCCCTAGCCCCCCACCCCCAACAGGCCCCAATGGGTGATTCTCCCCTCCCTCTGTCCATGTGTTCTCATTGTTCAACTCCCACTTATGAGTGAGAACATGCGGTGTTTGGTTTTCTGTTCCTGTGTTAGTTTGCTGAAAATGATGGTTTCCAGCTTCATCAATGTCCCTGAAAATAACATTATCTTATCCTTTTTTATGGCTGCATAGAATTCCGTGGTGTATATGTGCCACATTTGCTTTATCCAGTCTATCATTGATGGGCATTTGGGTTGGTTGCAAGTCTTTGCTCTTGTGGATAGTGTTGCAATAAACATACGTGTGCATGTGTCTTTATTCTAAATCCTCTGTTGTCATTTGAACAACGTTCACAGCATCTTCACTAAGAGTAGATTCCATCTCAAGAAACCAGTTTCTTTGTTCATCCATAAAAAAGCATTTCCATATTTGTTCAAGTTTTATTATGAGATTTCAATAATTAATTCACATCTTTAGGCTGCATGTCTATTTCTAGTTATCTTGCTATTTCTACCACATATGCAGTGAATCCCTCTACTGAAGTCTTGAACCCTTCAAAATGATTGATAAGCATTAGAAAAAAACTTATGCCAAACTTCTATTAATGCTGATATTTTCACTTCTTCCCATGAATCACACATTTTCTTAATGGCATCTAGAATAATGACTTCTTTTCAGAAGGTGTTCAATTTCAGTTGCCACGATCTATCAGAAGAATCACTATCTATGGCAGCTATCATCTTATAACATGTATTTCTTAAGTAATAAGGCTTAAAAGTCAACATTCCTCCTTGATCCATGGGCCACAGAATGGATGCTGTGTTAGCAGTCATAAAAAACTCCCTATAGATGCCCATATGAGCTCTTGGGAAACTGTATACATTGTCAATGAGCAGTAATATTTTGGAAACAAAAATCTTTCTTCTGAGCAGTGAGTCTCACAGTGGCTTAAAATAGTCAATAAGTTATGCTCTGAAGAGATGTGCTGTCATCCAGGCTTTGTTGTCCCATTTATAGAAGACAGGCAGAGTATGTTTACCACATTTCTTAAGGACCCTATGATTTTCAGAATATTAAATGGTCATTGGCATAACTTAAAGTCACTAGGTGCATCAGCCCTTAAAAAGAGAGCCAGCCTGTCCTTTGAAGTTTGAAGCCAGGCATTGGCATCTCCTCTTTAGGTATGAAAGGCTTATATGGCATCTTATGTCAGTATAAGGCTGTTTGAACATAGAAAATCTGTTGTTTAGTGTAGCCACCTACATCAATTATCTTAGGTAGATTTTCTGGATAACTTGTTGCAACTTCCACATCAGCACTTGTTGCTTCACCTTGCACTTTTATGTTGTGGATAAGGCTAAACTTCTTAAAACTCATGAATCAATATTTTCTGCAGCTTCCTCACCTCTCAGCCTTCACAAAATGGAAGAAATTAGGGGTCTTGATCTGGATTAGGCTTTGGCTTAAGTGAATGTTGTGGCTCACTTGATTTTCTATCTAGACCACAAAAACTTTCTCCAGATCAGCGGTAAGACTGTTTGTTTTGCTTTCATATCATGTATGTGTTCACTGAAGTAGCAGTTTTAATTTCCTTCAAGAACTTTTTCTTTGCATTCGCAACTTGGCTTACTGATGCAAGAGGCTTAGCTTTTGATCCATCTCAGCTTTCAGCATCCCTTCCTCAGTAAGATAAGTTGTTTCTGGTTTTTGATTTAAAGTAAGAGACTTGCAACTTTTTTTGAATATTTAGAGACCATTGTAGGGTTGCTAATTGGACTAATTTCAATATTGTTGTGTCTAAAGGAATGGAGAGGCCTGAGGAAAGGGAGAGATATGGGTGAACAGCCTGTTGGTGGAGCAATCAGAACACACTCGAAATTTATTGGTTATGTTTGCCATCTTGTATGGGCATGGTTCGTGGTGCCCCAAAATAATTATAATAACAATATTAAAGATCACCGATTACAGATCATCATAGCAGATATAACGATAATGAAAATTTTGAAATATTTAAGAGTTACCAGAATGTGACACAGAGACATGAAGTGAGCACATGCTGCTGAAAAAATGGTACTGATAGACTTGCTTAAAAAAGAGTTGCAACAAAATCTTCATTTTAAAAAAAAAATTAATATCTGTGAAGCACAGATAAAGCAAAACACAAAAAAATGAGGTATGCCTTTAACTCCATTAAAAATGGGCAGAATACTTGAATAGACATTTCTCAAAGAAGACATACAAATGGCCAACTGGTTTATAAAAATGTTCAACATTACTATCAGGAAAATGAAAATTAAAACCACAGTGAGATATTACCTCACACTTGTTAGAAAAGCTATTATCCAAAAGATGAATGATAACAAGTGTTGGCCGAGATTCAGAGCAAAGGGAATCCTTGCACGCTGTTGATGGGCACATAAATTAGTACAGACGTTATAGAGAATGAATTAGAGTTAGCTTTGTTTACAACATTCAAAATATTAAACCTACCTGTGTGTCCATGAATGGACAAATGGTAAGGAAAATGCTATGTGTGGGTGAGTGCCTGTACGTGTGTGTATACACACATAAATATGTATATATTTATATATAAATACAAATGCACCCAATGGAATTACTATTTAGCCTTAAATATAAAAAGAAAATTCTGTCATTTGTGACAACATGTATAAGTCTGGCAGACATTATGCTAAGTGAAGTAAACCAGGCAAAGCCACGCATACCACATGATCTCACTTATATGTGGAATCTAAATACAGTGAACTTACAGAAGTAGAGAGTAAAGTGATGGTTATCCAGAGTCTGGGATGGGGTGGGGTGAAGAATGGAAATATGTTGACCAAAGAGTACAAAGTTTTAGTTAAAGAGGAGGAATAAATTTTGTAGATTTATTGCACAGCATGACAAACATAGTGAATAATAATGCATTATATGTTTCAACATTGCTAAAAGAATAAATTTTAATGTTCTCTACAAAAAAGTATGTGAAGTGAAGAATGTTATTTAGCTTGATATAATTATTTCACAATGTAAACATACATCAAAACATCATATCATACCCCATAAATATAAAGAAATTATTTGTCAAATGAAAATAAAATTAAGAAAATAAAACAAGATTATGAAATACCTCATTATTTTTAGATTAATTACATGTTGAAATAATGAAATTTTGTACATATTGAGTTAAATACAATATATTATTAATTGTTTTAAAAAATGGGATACTGCATATATCAACAGCTTAGCATTTTCATAGCTATATAATATAAGGTATTATTATTATTTTACAGATATGATATGAGCAAAAATTCAGAGCAGAACAGAAACAATGACAGAGCAGTACTGAGTTAGAAAACTCCAGCTTTTGCATCTTTGTTCTATGATCAAATTAACTGAAAAAATAAGATGGTTTGCTTATGATGTGATTGGTCAATTACTTCTATGGGAATCAATTAAATTTCAGGTATTATTTGGGTATATATATTGTATAATGTGTAGTGCACAAACAGATTAATAAGTTTAATAGAAGTAGCATTCTATAAATCTTGTTGTTTTCAAGTTTTAAGCACTCCACATCGGATTCTTGACTGTAATAGTCTTAATATAGATTTGTTGAAAATGACTAACCTCACTCTCAGGAGTAAGAACTCATGCAGTTTACTATATATGCATATAGAATGTAAAATGTGGAGAGTAAACATCAGGTTCTGGTATAGTCACTGTTCCTTCCTCAATAAGAAACTAAGACTACTGTAGCCCATAATATGAAGAATATATCTTTTGTTAGGCATGCCATGCTGCACTTTTCCTACTACATGTCTACATTTGTTAAGTTGTTGTTTCAAAGCCCTCATGACTTATCACAGATTGCTATTAGTCATCAAGGAGGATTTAACAAGGGAATTTTATTTTAGGTTCCAGGATACATGTGCAGGATGCGCAGGTTTGTTACATAGGTAGATGTGTGCTATGGTGGTTTGCTGCACCTGTCAACCCATCACCTAGTTATTAAGCCCACATGCATTACCTATTTATCCTGATGCTCTCCCTTCTCCCCAGCCCCCACAGGCCCCAGTGTGTGTTGTTCCAAGAAGGGGATTTTATTACTTGCAACAAGAAATGTAGACACTGGGGATAGTACCACAAAACAGGGCCTTCCCCCAAAAAGGTGAAAACAGGGCTTTTATTAGGCTATTTAGCTGAGTCATTTTATATAGAGATGGAGTCAGTACAGGTGCAGTTGTCAATCATGCTTCTACATATGTCACATGTATAGAAAATGGACAATAAGCTCATCTCTGGCAGGATTTTTAGTATGGTAATGAGAAGAGTTCAACAAAGTTCATCTCCAACTCAGGCATCTCTGGATTCAATCGATTTTTGTTGTACCAGGGCTAGGCTTTTTCCAGAAACTTTTCTGTAACAAGAACTCAAGGTGCAAGTTACCAGTGGATAATTTTTCAGTGTGTCCCCCAAAACCTGAGAATCTTGGGTTACTATTACTTGTTAATCCTAGGAAAGCCTGCAGAAGGCTTTACAATTTCTAACATAAGTGCAGTGTACCTAACTTCTTTTATGGAGATTAGCTTCCCACACTTCAGGCAGCTTAGCAGTCTTATCTACAAGTGGGTGAGTGGCTAGATTGATAAGTAGGGGAGAAATCATCTTTGCGTGTTTTGGTGAAAAAAAATCACATTCTTCTTAAGGTCAGAACTGAAAATTGATCTGGTGCCATGGTACCATGGGTATGGCATCTTTCTTGATCCAGAATTATAGTCTTACATTCTCATATTGCTGTTAAAAATTACTCTTTTGAGGTTCATGCCACACAATATTTTTCCCTCATTCCCTCTGTCAGGTTTATGCCTCTCAGCCACTCACTGTCATTTTTTAGTACATGACAGCTGGATCACTGGTTTCTACTGCATCTCAATCTCTGTTGTCAGAGAGATAAGAACAAAGGTGCTGGATTCAGTTTTCCCCAGTTTTGATGCTAGATTTACCAATTACTACATTCCTACCAGAAATTCTAGTCTTGAATTATTTTAGAGTTAGAAATATAAACTTTTTACCATACTGTATCCAACTCATAAAAATTTTTAGTCTCTTGCTGTTAGCCCTTTTCTTTCCCTATATAGTTGCAACCTTGTGCTCTAACAATTCATTTATCAATATACTCATCACTTACCTGTTTGTTTTTGTCTCCACCACATTTACCAGATAGAGTGCATATTGTAGTGCTCTTCCCAGATTCCTTCTTCCTGGCTGTATCCATTGCCTAGCAACTAAAAAGATAAACTACTGACAGCTCATGGCTTTGTCCATCATTGTGTATTGACCTTTGCCAAGGTTATACTCTTTCCCAGAGGAAAGTTTATATTAGAGTCTGTCTGTTGCAGGGACAAAAGAGCATAGTCACTTTGAAGAGTCATCCCAGATACAGAAATGCCCATAGGCAGAATGCCAAATTATAGCTGGGCACATTGGAACTTAGAATAAAAGACTACATTTTCCATATTTCTTTGTAGCTAAATGTACCATATGACTAAGTTCTGGCCAAGAAGTTGTATGTGAAACTTTTATGCGGCTCTTCTAGGAATGTTCCTTAAAGAAAGCTGATTGAGGAGAATCCACTTTTTGTTCCTTGTTTCTACTTTCTTCCTGCTGATGGCAATTACCATCTTGGACTGTGACATGACCTTGATAATGGAAGTCATGTATTAAGAAGTGGAACACAAAGATAAAAGTAACATATATCTGTGATAACTCAAGCTGCGGCACCAGTTCTGACTTTCTACCTCCAGGCTTTTTATTGCTTGCATTCTGTCTATGTCCATCAACATACATGTATACTTAATTTTCTCTCAATAAAAGAGCTCTTCTTAAAGAATGACTTCAAGAGCTTAAAGGGAAAACATAAAATAAAAAACAAAATCAACTTTATATAAAAGCTGTTCTGTCCTGTCTTTCTCTCCTCTTCACAGTTAAGTTTTTGGCAAAGTTTTCTGTACACATTGACTTCTCTTTCTCACTTCCAATTTACTCCACCCACTTCAAATTTTTTTTTAAACAAAAAAAGATTAATCCAAACCTGAAAGAATATGTTTCTTTTTGGCAAATTCTGTGAACTTTATTTTCTGATAACTAATTTTTCACTCTGAAGTATTTCAAACTCTTGACAGTGCTCTTCTCCTTATGCCACTCAAAGGTGTGTATATTTGCATATCTGAAAATTCGTAGTCACATCTCTAACTTTATTGTTTGGCTGAGTGTAGATATCCAGGTTCAAAATCATTTTTCTTATAATTTTGAAACAATATTCTATTAGTTTTTACCTATGAGTTACTTATGAGAGATCTGATGTCCTTATGAGAATTGTTTCTATTGCCTTGTTTACTCTCCTCCAAAAATTGTCTTTTCTACTGCCATAGTACCCAGAATGTGCCGGATCTCATTATTGCTCTTTGGAACCTTTGAAATATATATCAGAATACTGGGATCTAGACAGGGTACAGAACTGGTGTCTTGGCATTCAGTACATAAACTTTTGTTTAATCTCTTTTGTAGCCCCTAAATATTATGACTAGCTTTTCCCGGTATTCAAGATCCTGGAGAATTTTTCACTTAGTTTCCACAAAGAACGAACATTCTACTCCTTAAGGGATGAAATGTGGATAATGGCTTCTAGCTAACCAGGCAAGAAGAAGAGCTCTGGGTGTCTAATGCTCTTCATATAGACTTTCTACATACCAACCTGTTTTAATCCTTCACTTTATACTCACCTTTATTATATCTAGTGCCTTTAATTTCTGAGACTTTGTGGAGTGTGGTCTCAGAAACGACATATGGAAAATTAATGTATTCATTCTTGAATGAAAGCCCTATAGAAAGCAGAATTAGTTTCAAGTGCAATTTCTTTCCTTCTATGCCACCTTTACATTTATCTGAGCTTTGAATAAAGATCTTAAAATACAATACATTAAAAGATAAATTGTTGTGGTCTATTTCTTAAATTCCAATTATCAGTCTATTATTTTTTCTTATAAAGAAGGACTATGCAGGGCTGGGCACAGTGGCTCACGCCTGTAACCCCAGCACTTTGAGAGGCTGAGGCGGGGAGATCACGAGGTCAGGAGTTCAAGACCAGCCTGGCCAACATATTGAAAGCCCTGTCTCTACTAAAAATACAAAAGTTAGCTGGGTGTGGTGGCAGGCACCTGTAGTTCCAGCTACTTGGGAGGCTGAGGCAGGAGAATCGCTTGAACCCAGGAGTTGGAGGTTGTAGTCAGCCGAGATCATGCTACTGCACTCCAGCCTGGGTGATACAGCAAGACTCTGTTTCAAAAAAAAAAAAAAAAAAAAAAGAAGGACTATGCTAAACACTCTATCAAGGGCTGGTTTTTTACAATTTGCGATGAAAAAGTACCTGATAAGACAAGTATTTATCATATTTTTTATACATGTAATTTAATGAGATTACCATTTTGTGGTTGTTGGCCTACTCCAACATCTATAATGAAGCATAATAGAAAAATGCTTAAGCAGTGTGATTTGAGAGATTCCGGAAAGCAAGTCTTTGGATGAATCTATTCACTCTCTCACTGGTCATCAGTGCGACAAATGGGTTAAGGAACAAAGACAGAAGTTTTAAAGCATGGTATAAAATATATGTTGCCAAGAAGTTATTTCCCTTTACTCGGAAAAAAAAAAATTGTGACTTGTTCCCCAAAAGGGTGAAATTTATATGAAAGGAATTTTAATAGTTGAGTACCAGCATAGTAACTAGAAACCCTGGATGGCTGTCCTAGGTTAAGAAAATTGAATGAGGCTCTGTATAAAGGCCCCAGGGGACAGGAGGAAAGCTAAAGACAAAACATTAGACTGTGATTGACTCAATGCCGGCCCCTCTTAATCCACTATCATAAAAATTACCAATGAACAAATTGAAGCGTTATCCCACAAATCATCCCCTTTTCTGACCACTTACAAATTTTGATAATTTTCTTCTCTTGAGCTCCATGATATTGCATGCTCCTGGTTATCTTTCTGATTGCTACTTCTCTGCCTTTTTCATTTATTATTTGATAAACAGAAGCTTATCAATTATTCAGGAAAAACAAACATTTTTCTAATGCTAGAAACACAAAGTAATTTATCATACCGAACCTTTTCTAGAGGACATTGACTGATGTATTCAGACACTTGTTTGACAACAGATAAACAGCAAATAATCTTCCAGTGGCTTTTCTTTATCAGCTTATGATAAAGGCCAAAAGCATAACTGTAAATGATAACACACTGAGGGCTCTTCTTAACAGAAGCTGGGGAAATGTTCATGCAAATAACTTTCTGTTGATCAAGTCTGAGTGTCTGAGAGGATAGCACATACTTTTCTTTGAATGCCTTCCTAATGTATAATATCTCACAGCCCAGAAATTGATTATTATGAATACATGTATTTGATAGGCAGCAGGCAAGATCTTCATTAATTGTTTGTGAGAATAGAGGAAGAGAAGTGGGGAAAGGGAATCTTGCAAAAGGTGAAGTGGACACCAAAGCAAACTTTAGAAACTACATGTCTCTCATAGATCTAAACTTATAAAACAAGAGAGGTTTTTATTTTGTTTTATTTTTTAGCTCTTGATATATTTTCCTCTTGAGCTACATTCTCCATGTTTTACATGTCTTTTCTCCAAAGGCAGGTCAAGGATTTACTTATTGCCAAAGAGTTGCAATAAGGGTATATTTTATACTCTCTCTATAATGTATAATTTATTGCTGGTATTTTTAAATGTTAAAGAGTATAATCACAATAATTCAATGCTACTGAAATCTAATGTTTAGTGAGTTAAATGAGAAAGTTGTGTATTACCTAAATAATCTTGAGTAAATTAGAAAAAAATAAAACTATACTGTAATAGAACAAGACGTGCTTTTAATTTTTGAGTACTCTGATTTTGGACTGATTTGCACATCTTTGTACTTGTTAAGGTTTCCATGTTTACGTCCCTTTGGCAATAAGCCCATTTTTTTAAAAATGAAAGTAATTGTCTACCCTCTTTTGAATTTTTAATTTTGAATCTGTACAAAAGGGACCTGAGGCAACTGTGTTACTCTTACCTCATGTATGTAGCATAATGGTTAAGAGAGTTAGGTCTAGAGGCAGCCTGTATAGTTCAAGACCTGGATCTACCCTCTATTAACTGTAAACGTGGGGACCAGTTATATATGTTCCCTATGCCTTCATTTCCTTACCTACACAATGTGGATATGATATCATCTACCTCATAGGTCATAGCAAAAATTACATGATATATCATGTGTAGAATAAATGTTAGATGATGAATATATCTGGTGATCTGGTGGTCTAATAAAGTAACAAAGATATCTGGCAACATGTTTGCAACATGATAAAAAAACTCTTTTTTACTATTTACTGGTTCGAACTCTAATCAGGTGGTTGGTCTCTTTCTGGGTTGTTCTACAATAGGCATTTCATGAAAACTTTCCAAAAATAAACCCCACTAAATTATGCATTTCATATATCCCTAGATAAACTTACTCCAGTGACTCCAAATAAAACATCAGCATTTATATATATATATATATATATATATATATATACACACACACACATATATATGCTTTATTCTTTTTTATTCATTCATTAAACATTGGCTAGAACCGATCATGCACTTTGATAGGCTCTTGAGATATAATAGTTACTAAGCTGTAGTTTGTGAACTAAAGTCATTCATGGTCTAGTAAGGAATGAAGAAAAAATTATAACTATAATTTACAAGTGCTTATGATGTGTTTGGTTCACAGATGAAGTTATTTGACAAGGCAGGATCTTAAAACTAGTGTAAAAACTTAGCGGAAGTGATAAATTTGTGATTTGAACATCAGCTATCTGATCTTTAAAGATCATACACTTAAGTGTTAATACTATATTGCCTCTATAAACATAGACAGTTGGGTGTTGGACAACATGGAGGTTAGGAGCACCAACCCTCCACACAGTTGAAAATCCACGTATAACTTTTGACAACTAAAAACTAATAGCCAGCCCAGCTTGTGTCCCATCTCTACTGCTCCATATCCTTTGCTACAGTGTCCTTCAGGCAAAGGGGAACAGCAAAGACCCTGAGTGCTTTAGCCAGATATCCCTTAAATGCAGCTGCCTGAAGCAGAAGATGCCAGCTGTTCTTCCCAGTGAGCCACCCCTTCGCCACCGCTCATCGCCAGGAGGCCCTAAGTGACCCTGCTGCAGCCTCTGTCTGTCACTCAGTGACCTGCAGGTAAACACATTGGGATTCATCAAGGGAACGACCTGACCTATGGAAAATGGAGACGAATAAGATAGGAAAACTGCCCACCGAGGACTGGCATGAAGACAGGGGAGGCCATGGGTCAGGTTGTTCTCCTCTTCCCTACTGCAAGGAAATAGTGAGTGATTGACAGTCCTCAGGGACACATGCTTCTACCATGGAACTTTATATCTCTGAGGTTCAGGAGCTCTTCTGTGAGCCCTCCCCACCAAAGCCTCCAGACTGACATAGAAAGCTACATGGGGTCTGGACAGAGCTGCTGCTCAGGCACATGTGGAGTCCTGGGAGACTTG
Source organism: Homo sapiens (assembly GCF_000001405.40). NCBI lineage: Eukaryota > Metazoa > Chordata > Mammalia > Primates > Hominidae > Homo > Homo sapiens. The sequence continues at coordinate 83,127,536 of NC_000023.11, forward strand.
GATCCCTGGGCATCCCGGCACAAGCAGCAACAGCTCCAGCAATAAGGGAGGCCTGGATCCCTCATGTGCCTCCAGAAAATGGACAGAATCCACAGGATTTAGCAGCAACGCACTGGAGGCCTCACCTCCATTGCACCTCACAGGATAAGTCTCACCTGGTATGCTAGTGAGGCAACCCCAGCCCCACCTAACTTCTGGGGCTGGGAGCAGCTCTGCAATCCCCTGGGATATAGCTTCCAGAGGGAGAGACAGACTGACATTTTTGCTGTTCTGCAGCCTTCACTCCTATTATCCTCTGGTTCTGGAGGGAGTATAGTGGTTGGGGACTTACTCAGACTTCCACCCTGACTGACTCCCGATTCCTCCCTGCCACCGACCACTCCCTCCCTGTGCAAAGCAGCAGCCTTACAGAAAAGTGGCCAGACTGTCTTCCACACAATTACCCACCTCTGCTATTCTTCACTGGGCAATGTTTCCTGACCTGGGCTCCAAGCACAATCACCCTGCCCCCATCTGAACACTTTACTTGGTGGCAGCTCTGTATTGCTCTGAGGAGGGAATCCCAGAGACAAACCTACAGCCCCTCTACCAATGCAGCTGCAGTGGTACCACCCTTAATGTCCTTAGGTTGGGAAGGAACAAAGTGCCTGGTCACTATGCTGGACCTTCCAGTACACTGCAGTCACCCTGTGAAGAGGAACCCAGTGTTTCTACCCTGTGAGCCTCCACCTTCTACTCTTCACCAGACAAGGACCTTGCTCAGAACCATAGAACAGCTGCCTCACCCATGACCAAGCATTTCTACTGCTTGTTGCTCTGTGTTTCCCTGTGGGAGGAGCTCCCAGAGGTAAACAACAGCCCCTCTGCCACTGCCAAGGCAGTGGTTCTGCCCTTGCTGACCTCAGACTGGAGAGGAAACAGAGCCTGAGGGCTTTACTCATGATTGCAGCATGACACCCTCCCTATACCATAGGGTGAGGAGCTCCGTTTCTCCTCTCTGTGAGCCCTCAACCCTCATTCTTCACCAGGTAAAGCCCCCATCTTGGGATTTTTGGAAAAGCTGCCCCACCCTAGACTGAGCATTTCCACTGCTAAGGTCCTGTGTTTTCCTGGGGAGGTGCTTCCAGAGGCAACCAACAACCCTTTTGCCACTGCCACGACAGCCACAGCAGTTCTGCCCCTGCTCACCTTGGACTAGAGAAGGAACAAAGAACCTGAGGGCTCTACTTACACTCCCAGCATGACACAGTCACCATAAGGAGAGGAGCCCAATTTGTCTTATCTGTAAACCCTAGACCCCCTGTTCTTCAATAAGCTAGGCCCCTGTCTTGGGCCAGCAGAGCAGCTGCTCCACTCCCTGGCCGAAAAATTCCCAGTAGCAGTGGCCCCGTGTTTCTCTAAGGTGGAGCTTCCAGTGGCAGCTGAAAGCCCTTCCATCACTGTCACTGCAATGGTACTGCCCTTGCTGCTCTTGGACTGGAGAACAGCAAAGATCCTGAGTGTTTTAACCACATCTCCAGCAAGTGCAGCTGTCCTAAGCAGAAGACACCATTGGTCTCCCCAGCGAGCCACGCCCCTCCCACCGCTCACCAGGCAGGGCCCCCCAGCTTGGGCCCAAAATGCAGTGGTCCCATTCCAAGTCAATTTGACTGATTGGTAGTGGCTCTGCATTTCTATGAGGTGGAGCCCCAAGAAACAAGTGAAAGATCCACTGCCATTGCCACTTCCAAGTTTTCTTCTCCTACTGCCTCAAAGCTGGGGAAAGAACTTAAAGATTGAGATTGCCCCAGGGCTGCAGTGTACAGCCTGGAAATGCCAAGCCAAGGGCTGCAACCAACAGTCACATGAGAGAGAACCCAAAATTTTTAGAGCATTTAGAGGGAGAATGGCTGCAATTGTGAGGAAATACAAAGGAGCCATGTGGCTAAGCAAGAGCCTATATACCAGCCATTATGCTTGAGCACTGTCTACAGGGTCACAGCTCAAACTTCAACGTGAAAAATACTTTGCTAATGTAACCCCCTGTGAAACCAAGGGCAAGGGCTCTGCTACAAATGAAGACCCTGGACAAAGGCTCAGCCCTCTGAAAACATCCAGAAAATAAGTCAACTGATTGTACTCAAATTATACCACAGTTAATGAAACATCAGCCCACACAGATAAGAATGAAATAGCACAAGAACTCTGACAACTCAAAAAGCCAGAATGTCTTCTTTGCTCCAAATGATTACACTAGTTCCCCAGCAAAGCTTATGAACGAGGCTGAAATGGCTGAACTGACAAAAATATAATTCACAATATGGATAGGAATGAAGATCATTGAGATTAAGGACAAAGTTGAAACTCAATCCAAGTAAGCTAAGGATTACAGTAACACAATAAAGGAGATGATAGACAAAATGGCCACTATAGGAAAGAACCAAACTCATCTGGTAGAGCTGAATAACACACTATAAGAATTTAATAATGCAATGGCTAGTATTAACAGCAGAGTAGATCAAGCTGAGAAAAGAATCTCAGGGCTTGAAGAGGAGTTCTCTGAACTAACTCAGACAAAACTAAAAATAAAAGAATAAAAATGAGTGAACAAAACCTTGGAGAAATATGGGATTATATAAAGAAACAAAACCTATGACACGTTGGTGTCCCTGAAAGAGAGTGGGAGAAAGCAAGCAACTTGGAAAGCATTTCAAAATATTATACATGAAAACTTCCTCAACCTTGCTAGAGATACCAACATTCAAATTCAGGAAATCCAGAGAACCCCTGTGAAATACTACAGAAGAAGACCATCTCCAAGACACACATTCATCAGGTCCCCAAGGTTGAAATGAAAGAAAAAATATTGAATGCAGCTAGAGAGAAGAGGCAGGTCACCTACAAAGGAAACCTCATCAGTGGACATTTCAGCAGAAAACCTTCAAGCCAGAAGAGAAACTGGGGGCCTATGTTCAGCATTATTAAGAAAAAGAAACTCTAACCAAGAGTTTCATATCCAGCCAAACTAAGGTTCATAAGTGATAGAGAAATAATATCCTTTTCAGACAAACAAATACTAAGGGAATTCATTACCATCAGACCTGCCTTACAGGAGGCCCTTAAGGGAGTGCTAAATATACAGAAAGAGAAGACCATCACCAGCCACTAAAAAAACACACTTAAGTACACACATCATTGACACTATAAAGAAACCACACAAAAAAAGTCTGCATAATAACAAACTAACAACACAGGACAGGATCAAATCTACATAAATAAATATTAACCTTGAATGTAAACCGGCTGAATGTCCAAATTAAAAGCACAAACTGGAAAGCTGGATAAAGAAGGAAGACCCACTGTCTATGTTGTCTTCAAGAGACCCATCTCACATGCAATGACACCCATAGGTTCAAGATTAAGGGACAGAGAAAAATCTACCAAGCAAATAGAAAACAGACAAAAGCAGGGGTTGCTATCCTAATTTCAGACAACACAGACTTTAAACCAGCAAAGATCATAAAAGATGAAGATGATGAGCATTACATAGTGGTAAAATATTCAGTTCAACAAGAAGACTTAACTCTCCTAAATATAGATGCTTCCAACACAGGAGCACCCAGATTTATAAAGCAAGTTCTTAGAGACCTATGAAGAGATTTGGATTTTCACCCCAAAATAACGAGAGACTTTAACACCACACTGACAGTATTAGACAGATGATTAAGCCAGTAAGCTAACAAAGACATTCAGGACCTGAACTCAACACTTGACCAAATCAACCTAATACACATCTACAGAGCTCTCCACTAAATCCCAACAGAATATGCATTTTTCTCATCACCACGTGGCACATATTCTAATATCAACCCTGCAATCAGACATAAAGCAATCCAGAGCAAATTCAAAGAAACTGAAATCATACCAAACAAACTCTTGGAAAACAGCACAATAAAAACAACAATCAATATTAAGAAAATTGCTCAAAACCATGCAATTACATGAAAATTAAAGAACCTGCTCCTGAAAGACCAAAAAATGAAATTAATATTTTTCGAAACTAATTGAAACAAAGATACAACCTACCAGAATCTCTGAAACATAGCCAAAGCAGTGTTAAGAGGAAAGTTTATAGCACTAAATCCCCACATAAAAAAGTTAGAAAGATCTCAAATTAACAACGTAACATCACTCCTAGAGTAACTAGAGAAACATAAGCAAACGAATTCCAATGCTAGCAGAAGACAAGAAATAATCAAAATCTGCTGACCGGAATAAAATTGAGATGGGAAAACCCCAAAATTAATCAACAAATCTAAGTTGGTTCTTATAAACAATAAATGAGATGTATAAACAGCTAGCTAGATAAACAAAGAAGAAAACAGAGAAGATAAAAATAAACAAAATCAGAAGTGACAAAAGGGACATTACCACTAACTGAACAAAATTAAAAAAAAAAAAAAAACCCAGAGACTACTACAAAAACCTCTATGCACACCAGAAAGAAAACCTAGAAGAAATGGATAAATTCCAGGAAAGATACAACCTCCCAAGATTGAAAAGAAGAAATTAAATCCCTGAACAAATCAATAGTGAATTCTGAAATTGAATCAGTAATAAAAAGCCTACCAACCATAAAAAGTCCAGGACTAGATGGAGTCACAGCCAAATTCTACCAGATGTATAAATAAGAGCTGGTACCATTTCTACTAAAACTATTCCAAAAATTGAGGTGTATGAACCCTCCCTAAACCATTCTTTGAGGCCAGTGTCATCCTGATAACAAACCTGGCAGAGATACAACACAAAAATAAAATTTCAGGGCAATATTCTTGATAAACATAGATGCAGAAATCATCAACAAATGCTAGCAAACTAAATTCGGCAGCCCATCAAAAAGCAAATCCATCATGATTAAGTGGGCTTTATCCCTGGAATGCAAGGTTAGTTCAACATATGCAAATCAATAAATGTGATTTACCACACAAACAAAACTAAAAACAAAACCCACAGACTTATCTTGATAGATGTAGAAATGGCTTTTGATAAGATTTATCATCACTTAATATTAAAAGCCCTCAACAAACTAGACATTGAAAGAACATACAACAAAATAATAAGAGAATGAGAGCCATCTGGGGCAAACTTGCAGCCAACAGTATACTGAATGAGCAACACCTGAAAACATTCCCCTTGAAAGCTGGCACAAGACAAGGATGTTCTCTCTCACCATTCTTATTCAACATAGTACTGGAAGTCTTGTCCAAAGCAATCAGTTAAGAGAGGGAAATAAAAGGCATTTAAAAAGGATAAAGAGGAAGTCAAACTATCTCTGTTGGCAGACAATATGATTCTATACTTAGAAAACCCAAATGTGTCTTCCAAAAAGCTCCTTGAGCTAATAAACAACTTCAGTATAGTTTCAGGATACAAAATCAATGTACAAAAATCAGTAACATTCCTATACCCCAACAACATTCAAGCTGAGAGCCAAATCAAGAACCCAATTCTATTTACAATAATAATAAAAATAATAAAATACCTAGGAATAAAGCTAACAAGGGAGGTGAAAGATGTCTACAACTAGAATTACAAAACATTGCTTAAAAAATCACAGATGACTGGCCAGGTGCAGTGGTTCACACCTGTAATCCCAGCACTTTGGGAGGCCAAGGCAAGTGGATCACCTGAGGCCAGGAGTTTGAGACCAGCCTGGCCAACATGGCGAAACTCCATCTCTACTAAAAATACAAAAAATTAGCCAGGCGTGGTGGTGGGCACCTTTAATCCCAGCTACTTGGGAGGCTGAGGCAGGAGAATTGCTTGAGCCAGGGAGGCGGAGGCTGCAGTGAGCCGAGATCACGCTACTGCACTCCAGCATGGGCAACAAGAGCGAAACTCTGTCTCAAAAAAAAAAAAAAAAAAAAAAAAAGATCACAGATGACAAAAACAAATGAAAAAACGTTCCATGCTCATAGATAGGAAGAATAAATATTGTAAAATAGCCATATTGCGAAAAACAATTTACAGATTCAATGGTATTTCTATCAAACTACCAATGATTTTTTTCACAGAAGTATAATTTTAAATTTTATAGAAACCACAAAATAGCTTGAATAACGAAGGCAACCCTAAGCAAGAGCAACAATGATGGAGGATTCACATTATCCAGCTTTATACAATAATACAAGGCTACAGTAACCAAAGCAGCATGGTACTGGTAACAAAAGCCACATAGACAAATGAAACAGAATAAAGAGCACAGAAGCAATGCTTCTTATCTTTGATAACCATCTTATCTTTGACAAAGTCAATCAAAGCAAGCAATGGGAAAAGGACTCCCCTTTCAATAAATGAATTGGCTAGCCGTATGCAGAAGATTGAAACTGGGCCCCTTCCTTACATCACATGCAGAAATCAATTCAACATGGATTAAAGACTTAAATGTAAAACCCAAAATTATGGAAGCCCTGGAAATAACCTAGGAAATACCATTCAGAACATAGAACCTGAGAAAGATTTCATTATGAAGACGTTAAAAACAATTGCAACAAAACAAAAATTGACAAGTGAGGCTTAATTAAACTAAAGAGCTTGACACATCAAGATAAGCTATCAACAGTGGATACAGAGAACCTACAGACAGAATGGGAGAAAATATTTGCAAACTATGCATCCAAAAAAGCTCTAATACCCAGAATCCATAAGAAAATTAAACATATCAATAAGAAAAAAACTCCATTAAAAAGTAGGCAAATGACACAAATAGATACTTTACAAAAGAAGACATACACATGGACAACAAGCACATGAAAAAAATGCACAACATCACTAATCATTGGAGAAATTCAAGTCAAAACCACAATGAGATACTGTCTCACACCAGTCAGAACAGCTATTACTAAAATGTAAAAAAAAACCACACACACAAAACAAAACAAAACAAAAAACAGAATCTGAGGAGGTTGTGGAGTAAGGGGAACACTTATACACTGCAGGTGGGAATGTAAATTTGTTCGGCCGTTGTGGAAAGCATTTTGGTAATTTCTCAATAAAACTCAAAGCAGAGTTACCGTTTAACCCAGCAATTTCATTATTGGGTATATACCCAAAGGAATATAAAATTTTATACCATAAAGACACATGCACATTCATGTTGATTGCAGAACTCTTCATAATAGCAAAGACATGGAATCAACCTAGATGCCCATCAACAGGAGACTGGATAACAAAAATGTGATACATATAAACCATGGAATATTACACAACCATAAGAAAGAACAAGATTATGTCCTTTGCAAAAACATGGATGGAGCTGGAGGCCATTAACCTAAATGAACTAACACAGAAAAAGAAAACTAAATACTGCATGTTCTCACTTATAAGTGGCAACAAAACATTGAGTGCATGGACTCAAAGAAGGAAACAACAGACACTTGGCTCTACTTGAGTGTGGAGGGAGGGAGGAGGGTAAGAATAAAAACACACTACATACTGGGTACTATGATTATTACATGGTGAGTGAATAATGTGTTACACTTAACTTCTATGACACACTATTTATCTATATAACAAACCTGCACATTTACCCTTGAACATAATATAAAAGTCTTAAAACAAGTTAGTAGCTTACTGTTGACTGAGAGCCTTATCAATAACATGAATAGTAAATTAGCACGTTTTCTTTTTTCTGTAGTTACATAAAATCTTTCAGAAAAAAATACTGTCAATGTTACATGTATTGTATACTTTATTCTCACAATAAGGTAAGTTAGAGAAAAGAAAATTTTATTAAGAAATCATTAGAAAGAGAAAACATATTTTCTATTCATGAAGTGGAAATGAATCATCACAAAGGTCTTTATCTTTATTGTGTTCACGTTGAGTAGGCTGAAGAGGATGAGGAGGAAGAAGAGAGGTTGGTCAGCTTTCTCAGATACAGCAAAGGTAAAAGACATAGAGAATGTGGAAGGGGAGAAAATAGATATTTATTGAAAAAAATCATGTGTAAGTGGACCCATGCAGTTCAAACCCATGTTGTTCAAGGGCCAACTGTAATTTCCTACGAGTAAATTCATTTATAAATTTTGCAAAGGCTTTAGCCTCAAGGTTTCACTCTTGCTGTTTCATCTGCCAGAAATGTCCCTCTGTATTTCCATTCCTGCATTTTCTATGTTTAGCACCTTCTAATTCTTCAAGTTTTAACTTAAATATCATATCCTTTGAAAGGTTTTTTTCTGTTTATACTATCTAAAATATTCCCACCTTCTTATTCTTTAACAGTATGTGTTTTCTTTGTAGTTACTAGGATTTATAATTAGGATTTATAATTATTCTGTGTTATTATTTACTTTTTTATTTTCTGAATTCCCAGAAAACTCCATAAAGACAGAGATGTTGTCTATTTTGTTAACCATTATGTTCACAATACCCCTACAAGTGCCTGGGACATAGTAGGTGCTTAATAAATATTGATCCAATTAATGAATAAAAAAGGATTCAAAAAGCAGTAAACCTAGAAAGGACTTCATTCTTTTGGACTAAAATTTTACATATTTTGAAACCAAGAGAAAAAATACAATTTTTATACTTGGTACTATATAATGAGGGAATGTCTAGGTCATGTCATTTGTTCCTTTTTAATAACACTTTGCAATTTTTTCATAGCTAATTCCATTAAAGCGTTTCTCAGCACAGGAGATATGTAATTTTCAAACATGCAAAAAATTAATTGTCTACTGCTCACAGATGGTCAATCTTCAGTTCTTTTACAATAAAGACTTATTTTTAAAGTACAGAAGATTGATCTTTTAATATATTAACATGACACAGCCTCAATTATATTAACTTAAAACTTTAATAAAGTTTTGTAACAAAGCAAGTAAAGCTTTAGCTCATGATTTCCACCTGTCACATAATAAAGAAAATTACTCAATAGATATTCTTTTCAGATTTATCCCCTTCCCACTTTGTTTTACCAATAGAGGAATTTTAGGCTGGTGTCTAAGTTTAAAGCCTCTAATTTTTTCTTTCACAAATTCCTCCTTATGTTTGACTAAGCTTCCCATAACAAAGCCCAGGCATTTTTCCTCTTTAATACTACTTCTTATTTTTTATCTTTCTTTCTTTTTTTTTTTTTTCTTTTGAGACAGTCTTACTCTGTCACCAGGCTGGAGTGCAGTGGAGCGATCTCGGCTCCCTGCAACCTCCACTTCCTGGTTTCAAGTGATTCTCCTGCCTCAGCCTCCCGAGTAGCTGGGACTACAGGCAAGCACCACCACGCCCAGCTAATTTTTTTTATTTTTAGTAGAGATGGGGTTTCACCATGTTGGCCAGGATGGTCTCGATCTCTTGACCTTGTAATCCACCCACCTCGGCCTCCCAAAGTGCTGGGATTACAGGCGTGAGCCACTGCTCCTGGCCTACTTCTTATTTCTTTATTTTCCAAAGTACTCTACAACTGAAAATTTCTTTCAGCACAGTTTTGGTGGCAAGAAATGTCACCCCACAAAATACAATCATTTTGGTGTGTTTTAATTTCCACCCAGTGGACTGAGCACATTTTTCACTCTTCATTCCTCTTTAAAACCCTATGAAATGACAGGAAATAAAAAATTACAAAGAAATAATTATATAACATAGAAAATTAATGAGAGCATATTAACAGGCTAGGCAGAGCAGTGCATGTACACAGTGTGGAGAAAAGATCCAACATTTCCAGAGGAATACCAGAGAAATTACAGGCAAATACAGAACACAGGAATGATATAAGGCTGAAAACAGGGAAACATCACTAATTAGTACCTCTCCATGCACCCCCCCTACACACGCACCTTCTAGAATGATAGGAAACTTGGTAGTTACCAGCAGGCAAAATGCCCTTAAGTTTATTTAATAAAGAAAGTGAATAAACTGACTGCACAGGACTTGGGTTCCAAATGTGGGATATGATATAGTTGAATAAAGATATCCTCATTCTGTCACTTGAAGGACTCCCACAATCTACTCCACAATATACTCATAAGACTCCCCACAAATGCACCCAAAATGAAATCTTGCAAAGTAACACATCTTACCAATGTACAAAGAGCCCATACTCAAGCTTCACATTAAGGAAAAAGGCCAATTATGGACACAGATCTACACACACAAAAACAATGATAAATCATCAACTACTTATAAAAAAGCAAAATCATTCTTAAATATGAACAGACAACTGAGTATCAGGACATAAAATAAATGAGTATAATATCTTACAGTAAGAATTCACTGGGCATGGTGGCTCACACCTGTAATCCCAGCACTTTGGGAGGCCGAAATGGGCAGATCATTTGAGGCCAGGAGTTTGAGACCTGCATGGCCAACATGGGGAAACACTGTTTCTACTAAAAATACAAAAATTAGTTGGGCTGGTGGTACATGCCTGTAATCCCAGCTACTCTGGAGGCTGAGGCACAAGAACCACTTGGACCTGGGAAACAGAGGTTGCAGTGAGCTGAGATCACACCACGGAACTCCAGCCTGGGGTGACAGAGCAAGAAGTGACTGATCAGTTGCAAAGGATTCTCAGTAAGATGCACAGCTGATTTATCATCAGCAACAATGGTGTCCAGGATGCAGTGAAATAACACATTTCACGTGCCAAAAAATAAACCCAAACAATCAATGATTAATTCTATAATTGGCAAAAATACTCTTTTAAGCATGAAGGAGAAATTAAGACATTCCCAGATAAACAAAAGCTGAGGGAGTTTGTTTCTGTAAGACATGACCTACCAGAATAGTAAATGAAGTCCTTCAGACTGAAATAAAAGGACACTGAACAGTAACTTAAAGCTATATGAAAAACTATATAAATCATCAGTAAGGTAACTATGTGGGTAAGTAAAACACACGGTATTTTGATTTTAGTTTGCAGTTCCTCCTTTTTTTCTCATATAATACAAAAATTAGCTGGGCTGGTGGTACATGTCTCTAATCCCAGCTACTCGGGTGGCTGAGGCACAAGAATTGCATGAACCTGGGAGGCAGAGATTGCAGTGAGCCGAGATCATGCCACTGCACTCCAGCCTGGGCAACAGAATGAGACTCTGTCTCAAGAAAAATAATAGTTCTATAAAGAGAAAAAAAAAGACAAATTATTAACCCAGTATGAAGTGACAACATGAATTGGTGGAGTAAACTTCAAACTCACATTTCTTTACAGAAACATCAAAAAATAACCAGAAACTGTCATATTCAAATATCAGAAATATGAAAAAGAGTCAAAGATTTATAGCCACGAAGAAAAGCCAAATAGAAAAAGGTAACTTGAAAAGTTTTGTGGTGATTAGAAACAAATAAAACTATGCAGGATCAAAATTAGGTTATCATTTAAGAGACAAAAATTATAGAAATAAATAAAAACTCTAGAGCTGAAAAGTACAATAATCAAAATTTTAAAATCACTAGAGAATTCTAGAAACAAATTTGAGTAGGCAGAAGAAAGGATCAGCATATATAACGATTAGGCCAAATGATTTTTTTTAATCTGAGGGACAGAAAGAACAGAGTCTAAGGGATTGTGGTACACCATCAATCAGACCAGCATATACATTATGGAAGTCTCAGAAGGAGAAGAGAAAAAGAAAGAGGCAGAAGTAGTATTTGAAGAACTAATAGCTGATAAATTCCCAAATTTAATGAAAGGCATAAACTACATATAAAATAGCCCAACAAATTCCAAGCAGATTAAACTAAAAAAGATCCATACTGAGACACATTATTGTCAAATTTTTGGAATACCTAAAGCAAAAGGAGAATCTGAAAGCAGAGCGAAACTCTGTCTCAAAAGTCTTATAAAGAGAAAAATAAAACTAAAAATTAACACAATATGAAATGACAACAGGAATTAGTGGAGTAGGAACTTTCAAATTTCTGTTTCTTTACAGAAACATCAAAAAATAACCAGAAACCGGTCATATCCAAGTATCATAAATATGAAAAACAGTCAAAGATTTATAGCCACCAAGAAAAGCCAAGTTAAATAAAAGTAACTTTAACAGTTTTGTGATGTTATATTTTTTCTTGCCTCACACAATTTCTGGATCAGTGATAGTCTGAAAGATGGCAAATTATCAGGCAAAATAGATTTTTTAAGTCATAAAAGGTCAGAGAAGACAAAGGACATTATATATTGATAAATTTTTTAATTCACCAAGAAGATATAACAATTATAAATATATATATATATATATACACTTAACAGATTCCTCAAATACGTGCAGAATTACTGAAAAGAATTAAAGAAATAGAGTTCTAGAGTGTTCGAGATCACAATAGCTCTATTGAATGTGCAATAAGATGATAGAATGAACAAGACAACTGATCAGTAAGAAAGCAGAGGAAATGAATAAAACTACAAAAAATTAGACCTAATAAATACATAGGAACAATTCACTGTATAACAGTAGAATATGTTTTCTTCTCAAGTACACAAAGACTATCCTTCAGAACAGATCATGTGTTAGGCTGCAAGTCTCAATAAACCTCAAAATTGAAATTATACAAAATATTTTTTGATGGCAATGAAGTAAAACCAGAAGTCAGTTGCAGAAAGAAAACTTGAAATATCACAAATATATGGAAAGTCAAACATATATCCTCAATTAGCTAAGAGGTCAAAAAAAGTGTTGTGGTAAATTAGAGAGTACTTCAATACAAATGAAAATGAAAACACAACATATTAAAACTCATAGAATGCAGCAAAAGTAGTGCTAAAATGGAAATTTATATCTGTAAATGCATTTATTAAAAAGAAATATCTAAAATAAATAACCTAACTGTACACTTTGAGGTACCAGAAAATGAAAAGCTAATGCCAAAAGTAGCATGAAGGAAAAAAAGTCTAAGTATTTTGAATACAAATAGACAAAATAGAGAAAAAATAATAATATAGAAAACCAATACAGCCCAAAAATGGTTTGTTGAAAAAAAAATCAACAGAATTGTAAAACCTTTACCTTGATTGGCTAAGAGGAAAATTGTTAAATTCATAAATAAAAAGGAAACATTACTACTGACATCATGGAAATAGAAACATTTATAAAATATTACTATGAATAACTGTATGTCACTAAGTTGCATATCTAGGTAAAATGGACAAATTCTGAGAAATGCAAAAAATACCACAGATGACATAGGAAGGAATACAAATTCCTGAATAGACCTAAAATAAATAAGTAAATTTAATCCATAATCAAAAACCTCCCAACAAAGAAAAACCCAGTACTAGAAGGATTCATTTGTAAATTCTACCAAAGATTTAAAAAAATGCAAACTAATTCTTTTCAAACTTTACCAAAAAAATAGAAACAAAGAATACTTTCTAACTCACTCTATAGGTCACCATTACCCTGATAAACGAGCCAGACAAAGACATTACAAAGAAAACCGTACACACTAATGTTTTTTATGAATATTATGAGGGTTAATTTCAGGGATCAACTTGACTGAATTAAAGAATTCCCAAATAGCTGATAGGGAGTTATTTCCGGGTATGTCTGTGAGGATGTTTCCAGAAGAAAATGGCATTTAAATCTGTGGACTGAGTAAAGAAGACTCTCAGCCAGTGTGGGCAGGCACCGTCAAATCGGCTGAGGGCCTGGACAGAACAAAAAGGCAGAAGAAAGGCAAATTTTCTTTCTGGATTTGGGAGCTGGGACACTCTTCTTCTCCTGCCTTTGGACATTAGAACCATAGGTTCTCTGGCCTTTGAATTCCAGGACCTGTAGCAGCAACCCCTCAGGTTCTCAGGCTTTGGACTCAGGCCTTTCGACTGAGAGTTACATCATCAGCTTTCTTAATTATTTAGCTTGCAGACAGCCTATCTTGGGACTTTTCAGCCTCCATAATTACATAAGCTAATCCCCCTAACTAATCTGCTTTCATCTATCTATCTATTTCTATCTATCTATCTATCATATTTTTTCTGTCTCTCTGGAGAACCCCAATTAATACAAATATATGTGCAGAAATTCTGAAAAAAATACTAGCAAACCTAACCTAATATCATATTAAAAGGATTATACACCATGATCTGGTGGGGTTTATCTCAGGAAAGTAAGTGTGGTTGAATTTAAAAAAAAAAAATCCATGTAATGCATCACAGGCATAGATTGAAGAAAAAATGATTATATAAATTGATGCAGAAAATACACTTGACTAAATCAAGCACATTTTCATAATAAATACATTCTATAAACTAGGAACAGAAAGAAACTTTCACAATATGATGAAAACCATATATGAAAAGCCCACATCTAACATCAGTGGAGAAATACTGAAATATTTCCCCTTAGGATGAGGAACCAAACATAGATGTTTGTTTTCATAACTATATGTAATATACACTAGAAATTCTGGGAAGAGCAATTAGACAAGTAAAATTAATAAGAGTTTCCCAAATTAGAACATAATTGTAAAACTACATTTTCAGATACCAAGGTCTTATTTCTAGTAAGCCCTGAAAAGTACAGTAAAAACTGTTAGAACTCATCAAGAAATCCAGCAAAATTGCAGCATACAAAATCAACACATAAAAATTAGCCTCATTTCTACACAACAGCATAAGTAATCTGAAAAAGCAATTAAAAAAATAAATTTACAATAGTTTCAAAAATACTTGGGAATCAATTTAATCAAGAAGGAAAAATGCTTACATATTAAAAATTATAAGATATTACTGAAAGAAAATTAAAAAGAAAAAACATGAAAGACTTCTTGTGTTTATGATTTGAAGGTTTAATACTGTTAAGATATCAACACTACCTAGAATAATCTAGAAAATCAATGTAATCCTCATCAAAATCCCAATGTCATTTTGTGAAGAAATGTAAAAACCCATCCTAAAGTTCATATGCAATCTAAAAGGACCTCGAGTAACCAAAACAGTCTTATAAAAGAACAAAGTTTAATGACTCACCCTTCCAGATTTCAAAACTTATTTACAAAGGTAGATATAGTACTCCAAACCATGTGTAACTGGCATAAGGACAGACATATAGAAATAATGGAATAGAACTGAATGCCCAGAAAAAGTCCTCACATATATGGTCAAATGACTTTTGACAAAAATGCCCAGTCCATTAAATTGGGAAATAAAATAATAATAAAAAAACAGTGCTAGGGAAACTGGATATGCCAAAATATGAGTGATGGATTTTTAGTTTTTACCACATACAAAAATGAACTCAAAATGAATTGAAAAACTCTAAATTAGCTACTACTCAATATTGGATTCCTAGAAAACTTAAAGGAAAGCATAGAGGAAAATCTGCATTACATTGGTTTTGAGAGTGGTTTCCTTAATATAACAGAAAAGCACAAGCTATAAAAGAAAAAATGAATTTTCTTATAAAAATTTTGTGCATCAAAGATCACAATAAAGGAAGTGAAAATACAATCTACAGAATGGGAAAAATATTTGCAAATCATATATCTGCTAAGGGATTAATATCTAGAATATATTGAGGACAACTCAACCACCACTACCATTCAATTAAAAGAAGACAAAACACCCAACAAATAAAATGGACAAAAGACTTGAATAAATTTTTTTCCAAAGAAAATACACAAATGGCCAATAAACCCATGAAACAAATCTCAACATCATTAGTCATTAAAGACATGCAAATTATAACCACAATTAGATATCACTACAAACCTACTAGGATGGCTATAATTTAAAAGAAAGTGGAAAGTAAGTGTTGATGAGAATGTGGAGAAACTGGAAACCTTGTGCATTGCTGGTGGGAATGTAAAATGATGCATCTGCCATGGAGAACAATTTGGCAGTTCCTCACAAAGTTAATTATAAAATTACCGTATGACTCGGCAATTCCTCATTTCATTATAAACTCAAAAAGCATTGAAATTAAGCTTTCAAATAGACAGTTGAACACCGGTATTCACAGCAGCATTATTCACGATAGACACAATATGGGAAAAAAACTGAAGTGTCTATCAACAGATGAATGTATAAACAAAATATGGTATATGCATGCAATGGAATAATACTCAGCCATAAAGCTGAAGTTTGATACATGCCACAACATGGGTGAACCTTAAAAACATTATGCGATGTGAAATAAGTCATTCACAAAAGGACAAATATTGCATGATTTCACTTACATGAGGTTTCTAAATTAAGCAAATTCATAGAGACAAAAAGAGTCTGCTGGGGCTGGGATCAGGGAGGAATGAGAGTTCTTGCTTAATGGGTACAGAGTTTCTGTTTGGAAATATTTAGTAGTAATGGTTGTGTACTATTGTGGATGTAATTAATGCCACTGAATTGTATACTAAAATATGGTTAAAATGACCACATTTCTAGCCCAATTTGTCACTCTTTGTCCTACGATCTGAAACCCACTATGTCAGTAGCAAGTTAGATATTTATGATATATATCAGCCCTTTAAACCCAAAGATAACATTATTTATGAGGGTGAAAAAAAGTCAGCGATGCTTTTAAAAGTGGCTACTATAAATTTAATATTGAGGATTATACACAGCTCCAAATTTCTTACACTTTTAAGTTTTTTGACAGCGAAATGGACATGATTCTGAACTATATGAAGCTGGTCCTTGCAGGTCTTTCTTGTTTAATTAAAGTCTTTGAATATTTCTATCCATCTCTCTTATGATTCACAGGTAGCCAAACCAAATGATTCACCAAGAAATTTTGGGCCAACTAAGAATATATGGTGTCTTAGAGAGTAGTAGTTAACTAGATGGGGAATAAAGGCAAATTTTAAAGTGGAGTTACAGATATTTCTGCAAACTTATCTAGCTTCTACTCCAAAGCATGAAAAATCAGTTTTAAGTAACAGAGGATAAGAGGCTTTGGCCTCAAGTATTTCAAGAGATCCACCACTTGCTAGCTGTGCAGTATGTGCAAGTGATTTCATCACTCAGAGCTTCAGTTTCCTTATCTGAAATATTGTAATAGTAAATATTTCCCCAAAGCATTAAAGTGCCTGTTGACTGAGATAATGTAAAGCAACTAGCCCAATAAATAGTGAATAATAGTATCTAATACAGCAGCAGAATCACCTTTCTCTTTCTGAGATGGTTTCTTGTCTATTCCTGGGTCTATTCCAAGCTAGTAGATATTCACTCTTACCAATCATAAAAAAGAAAGATCAGATATGTATTCAGCTTAACTGCTCAGTTAATCCTAGCATCTAGGGATGAATAATCTCAGATTTTCTGCTGTCTAGTCTGCAAGTAACTATAGTTCTGTTGGAAGTGTGAGAGATGGTTAGAACAAAAGTTAATAAAAAGAATGTGTTGTTTAAAATTTCTGTTAGAAAAGTGAAATAAGTTTTGAGATTTGTTACACAGCAGGATGACTATAGTCAATAATAATATATTGTATATTACAAAATAACTTAGTAAATTCAAATATCTCACCACAAAACAACAATAGGCAAGTGAAGTGATGGATATGTTAATTAGCTTGATTTAATCATTTCACATTGTATACATATATCAAAACTTCACATTGTAGCATATAAATGTATACATTTATGATTTAGCATTGAAAGTAATATTGATAAAAGTAAATTTTTAAAATAATATAATGTGCTGTATAGTCTAGCACCTAAATTCCAAATTATTTGTTAAACATCATTTAGAAATTGTTTGTGCCTTCCTTTTTTTCTTCATAGTGTTCTATGAAAATATACCTGTTTTTAATAATGTGATGATTTCTTAACTTCTCTATGTACTTTTGCTGATCTTTCTCTCTTATACATAAAAATGTGGGGGGTTTGTGCCTCTATTAACGCTCTTATCATAGTCTTACTCAGAACACACTTTTTAAAGTTTGTGTTTTTCTCCCCACTACAAAGAGCTCCTTAAGAAAGAAGGGGTTCTGTTTGGGACATTTCATGTATTCTGAGTAATACCTAATGCAGTAGCTGGGACATATTAGGCAATTAGCAAATATTTGTTGAACTGCCTCTGTTGTTTGGTTATCAATGCAACTTATTTTTATTACAGATTTTGTGTGTTGTCCATTTGTAAATTCTTCAGTCCTTGGGATCCCTGAAAGGCAGTGTTAGAATAGTTCAACTACCAAACTTCACCAACTTAACACCATTTACAATTATCACAGAAACACGTATTACTAGATTACAAGGCTTATTTTCATTAATTCTCTGCATAATCTACTTCATAAATTTGCGCCTCACCTATCCACATAGTCAAGGACCTGGAAAACTCAAATTATTTTCTGCTATGCTTTAAGCCTCCCTGCTTCTGTATACAAGATAAGAGTGTGAAGTCTTCATTATTGTACTGTTTTCACACCCAGGCATAAGTTATGGATACAGCAACAGAGAGTGAAATTTCTTTGTGCTTCTCATTGGCTTCGGTTCGCTGCCTTAAACGGACTGAGTCAAGGCCATGTTTTCATGCCATAGACATGCTATTCAAATACCAGTGTGACCACATTTGAAAAGCCATCCTGTACCACTTCATTGCCGCAGATGTCTTTTACATCTGGCAAGGGCCGTTTCTCTGCATGTCAACAGTAATTCAGTTTAACAGCTGTCTCTTTTGACAAGCTTAGTGTCAGACTCTAAAATGACAGGGTGACAGTTTTTCTTTTCTTTAACAGAACATAGTGCAAATTAACTATTTGAATACAGAAGCATTGAATGTATTTAGAGCAGTTTTTTTCTGAGTAAGCTGAATAGGCTTTGGGATTTTATTTGTATGATTACATGGTCTATAAAGCTATTGAAGCTGATGATTCAAGGCATTCTGCAGGGAGCTTCGATCTGTACCTTAAATATGCTCATGTACAACATAACACTTAAATGAGGGTAAAGCAATTATTGTAAAGAAACAGTGGAATTTGAGACATTGGTGAAATAAACACTTGTGTCGCATTGTCTAAACTTGCCAGAATTCTCTGGATTCAAGTCACAGAGAGTTAAGTTCTTGCAGATATCACAGCCGATTGTATCACAGGCTATTTTTTTTTTTTGGTTGTTCCAGACAGCATGTACACCATCTTTTCTAAATAAAACCAGCTATAAGAGCGGAATCTTGGAAAAATCATGAACATTTGACTATACTGGCCTATGTTTTCCCCTATTTCCATTTTTCTGTTAATATTTCTTCTAATGTCTGCCTGCCTCCAAGTAATACCCAGGAACTCTCCTTGTCTCCTATATGGTTCTCTTGAGTTCAACAAATCTTGACTAAGCAACTACTTTCTGCCACAGAGCTACTCACTGGGGATATTTTGAGGAGCAAAGGCAGATATAAACCCTGTCTTCATAGAGGTTTCAGTCCATTGGCATATATTAACTTTCTACTACTATTGTAACAAATTATCACAAACTTAGCAGTTTAAATCAGCACAAGTTTATTATGTCACAGTTATGTAGGTCAGAGAAGTCCAGGTACAGCATGGCTCAACTATTTTCTCTGCTTAGAGTCTCACAATACCCAAATCAAGATATTGGCAAGTCTGCTGTCTTCTAAAGGCAGTAAGGAAGAATATGTTTACTTGTTCATTCAGGTTATTGGCAGAATTGAATTCACTGTGGTTGTAAGACTGAGTTCCTCATTGTTTCATTAGGTACTTTTTCAGTAGTTTATTTTAGTGTGTAGAATTGCAGTTGATTTTTATGTGTTGATTTTGTATCCTGCAAATGCACTGAATTCATTCATTAGTTTTAACAGTTTTTTTTTTTGTTGGAGTCTTTAAGACTTTCTATATATGATCATGTCATCTGGAAACAAAATTTTACTTATTTCTTTTGAATGTGGATGCTTTGTAGTTTCTTTTCTTGCCTTAATTCTCTGACTAGGAATTTTCGTACTATGTTACATACAAGTGGCCAGAGTAAGCATCCGTGTCTTCTCTTTGTTTTAGAGAAAAAGCTTTCAAATTTTTACCTTAGAGTATGATGTTAGCTGTGGCCTTGTGATGCGTGGCCTTTATTGTGTTGAGTGAAATTTCTTCTATACCTAATTTGCTGAGAGTTTTTATCATGAAAGGAGATTGAGTTTGTCAGCTGCTTCTCTGCATCTATTGAAACTATCATGGTTTTTGTCTTTCATTCTTTAATGCAGTGTACCACATTCATTGATTTGTGTTTGTTAAAAATTCCTAGCATCACAGAATAAATACTACTTTATCATAATGTATGAGTCAATTAACATACTGCAAAATTTGGGTTGCTACTATGTAGTTGAGTATTTTTACATTTGTGTTCATCAGGGATATTCGCCTGTAATTTACTTTTTTATAGTGCCATTGGTTAACTTTGGTATCAGGGTAATGCCAAATAGGTAAAATTAGTTTGAAAATATTCTCTCCGCTTCAAATATTTGTAACAGTTTGAGAATAATTGGTTTTTATTCTTCTTTAAATGCTTAGTATAATTCACAAATAAAGGCATCAGGTCCTAGACTTTAATGAATCAGTTTCTTATCAATGATTCCATTGATCATTTATTATTGTTCTATTTAGGTTTTCAATCTGAAATATAACTAATTCAGTTTTGAAATGTTGTATGTGTCTAGAAATTTATCAATTTTTTTAGGTTATCCAATATGTTAGAATATAGTTATTAGAATACCTGTATTCTTGGATATTTTATTTTTTGTTGCAATTATGAATGTGCTTATGTTCCTGATTTGGCTCTCAGCTTGGGTGCTCTTAGTGTATAGGAATGTGTCTGATTTTGTGCATTCATTTTGTATCCCTTTGCTGCAGTTGCTTATCAGCTCAATGAGCTTTTAGGTGGAGACTGTGAGGTTTTGGGGGTTTTCTAGATATAGAATCGTGTCATCCAAAAACAGCGATAGTTTGACTTCTTCACTTTTCATTTGGATGCATTTTATTTCTCTCTCTTGTATGATTGCTCTGGCCAGGACTTCCAATATTGTGTTAAGTATGAGTGATGAGAGAGGGTATCCTTGTCTTCTTCCTGGTTTTAAAGGGAATGCTTCCAGCTTTTGCCTATTCAGTATGATGTTGGCTGTGGCTTTGTCATAGATGGTTTTTATTATTTTGAATTATGTTTCTTCAATGTCTAGTTTATTGAGGGTTTTTAACATGATGGGATGATGAATTTTATAAAAAGCATTTTCTGCATCTATTGAGATAATCATGTGGCTTTGTATTTAGTTCCATTTATTTGATGAATCACATTTATTGATTTGCATATGTTGAACCACCCTTGCATCCCAAGGATCAAGCCTACTTGATCATGGTGAATTAGCTTTTTGATGTGCTGCTGGATACAGTTTGCTGGTATTTTGATGAAGATTTTTGCATCTCAGTTCATTAAGGATATTGGCCTACTTTTTTTTGGACTCCTCCAGGTTTTGGTATAAGGATGATGCTGGCCTCATAGATCCCTACCTTTTCAATGAAGTTACAAAACACTGCTCAGAGTAATCAGAGATGACACAGACAAATGAAGAAACATTCCATGCTCTTGGGTAAAAAGAATCAATATCCTTAAAATGGCCATATGGTGAAAAGAAATTTACAGATTCAATGCTATTTCTATCAAACTACCAATGACAGAAATAGAAAAAAAAAATCTTAAACTTCATATGGAACCAAAAAAGAGCCAGTATAGCCAAGGCAATCCTAAGCAAGAATAACAAAGCTGAAGGAATCACATTGCCCATTTTCAAACTGCACAAAGCTACAGGCCAGGGTCTGGAGCATAGACAGGTACAGAGTAACAGTGGCACTTGGGTCTGGGGCATGCTTTGTTGGGGGTGGTGACAGCTCAGCCTCAGGGTAGCACTACAGTGGTGTTTTCCTGAGGAAGTGCACCGCAACAAATCACTGTTCAGGGGGTCCATGATGGTGATGGCTGTTGGTTACTTCAGTGATTAAAGTGGTCAGGGTCCTCTGCAGATCAGGGCACTGGGACCAAGGTGGCACCTGCTTTGTCACTAATATTGATAGTCTCTGCCCTTTTCCTTTGTTCCCATGATCTTCACACATCTCAGGTATGCTGATCTCCCCAGAAACTTTTTCTATGTGGTTATTTTTTTTCTCCACTGTTTTACTGGAGGTTTTTAATTGGACTCTTGGGCCCTCTCAAGGCTATTTTCATTCACTGGTAGTTGTCTAATTATTGGTTTTAATAGAAGAATAAAGCTGGTATCTCCCACTTTACCATCCTGATGACATCATTTCCCAAATATTTAGGTCCTTATATTTCAAATATCAAAAAATCTTTTAAGAGTCATCCCTGGAAATGTCCTCATGTTTAAAACCTATGGTTTAGGGCCTAAAATTAAGGCTCAATATTATGCAAGCCTTGCCATCTGGGAGAAACTTGGAAGCCTCAAATGGCCTAAATTCAAGTTTCAAGTTTTCCTCTCTGTTTTACTCCCACAGAAGGGTTCCCTATTCAAACACCTTTCATTGTTATGGAGAAGACACTGTTTCTGCTTACCCTGAGTAGCAGGCCATTGGTACCTTGAAGACCATGAAATTATTCACAGAAGTCTGTCATATTCTTCCGTGAAAACCTAGTCATGTGGGTTGGTAGACAGTGGATCTGTATTTTTGTAAAGGAAAATTGAGAAGACTAGCCTTCCTAAAAATGACTTATTAATAGTGGAATCACATCGATACAGCAGACAGTGGGATAAATTTGGGAGCCAAAGAGCTGTGACTGGTGCTACTCATTATACAATATAAGAAAATGCATGCCAATGCATACAGTAGGCTTTTGTGGCCAAGTAAACGGTTCTTCCAAACCCAAAGTGAAAAAAAAATATATAATCAGGAGACAAGAAATCTAAATTTTAAAGACATTTAAGTTTTGTACCTAGTTCTGTAAGTAACTAGTAACATGACTTAGGCAATTTATCTTCCCTGTGTCTCTGTATTTCTACTTGTAGAAAAGTCTGTGAAAGGGTTAGACTCAATTGCTTCCATACCTTCATTTATTTCTGAAATTTTATATAGCTAAAAAAGATTTATAGGGATAAATTTTACCCTGAACTTATACACAATATAAAATGTTGTGGGACATGTTGGAAAGTAGAGAGCTACTACAAATTGACCTTTTGTGGTGCAAGAGGGGGACCTTTCAGATACTGAAAATCTTTTCAGATTTTGGGGAGTAATGCAAACTAAAAAAGTATTTTTTCTGATTCCCTTTCTTCATTCCAATGTTCCAAATCATATCAATTTTTTATCAATACATAATAACTGTACATATTTATGGGATACATGTAATATTTTGACACATGCATATAATGTGTAATGATGAAATCAGTATAATTGGCATATCCATCACCTCAAATATTCATCGTTTTTTAATGTTAAGAGCATTCCAAATTTTCTATTACAGCTATTTTGAAATATACAAAAAATTATTGATAACTATAGTCACCTCACTGTGTTACCAAATATTAGAACTTATTCCTATTATTTAACTGTATCTATTTCCATTAATCAAACTTGCTTAACTCCCCTATACCCCCTACTCTTTCTGGATAACTACCATTCTACTCTCCTCCTCCATGAGAACAAGATTTTTACCTCCCACATGTGATTTTTTTTCTACACTTGGCCTATTTCATTTAACATAATGGCCGCTAGTGTATATATATATATATGTTTACAACATTTTATTCATTTATCCATGATTGGGCACAGATTAATCCCAAAACTTGATTACCGTGAATAGTGCTACAGTAAACATGGGAGAACATATATGTCTTTGATTTACTAAATTCCTTTATTTAGGGTATATACCCAGCAGTGAGATTGTTGAATCATATGGCAGTTCTATTTTTAGTTCTATAAAAAAAAAAAAAAAAAAGGAGGGGTAGGGGAGAGGTCAAGACGGCCTAATAGTAACAGCTCCGGTCTGCAGTTCCCAGTGAGATCAACGCAGAAGGTGGGTGATTTCTTCATTTCCAGCTGAGGTACCCAGTTTATCTCATTGGGACTGGTTAGGCAGTGGGTCCAACCCATGGAGGACGAGCAGAAGCAGGGTGGGGAGTTGCTTCACCCGGGAAGTGCAAGGAGCTGGGGACCTCCCTCCCACAACCAAGGGAATCCGTGAGGGACTGTACTACCTGGCGAGGTTACTACACTTTTCCCATGGTTTTTGCAATCTGCAGATCAGGAGATTCCCTCATTTGCCTACACGACCAGGGCCCTGGTTTCAAGCACAAAATTAAGCAGCTGTTTGGGCAAACACTGAGCTAGCTGAGTATTTTTTCATAACCCAGTGGTGCCTGGAACCCCAGCAAGACAGAACAATTCACTCCCCTGGAAAGGAGGCTGAAGCCAGAGAGCCAAGTGGTATCGCTCAGCAGGTCCCACTCCCACAGAGCCCAGCAATCTAAGAACCACTGGCCTGAAATTCTCACTGCCAGCACAGCAGTCGGAAGTCGACCTCGGATGATCAAGCTTGGTAGGGGGAGGGGCTTCCAACATAACTGAGGCTTTACTGAGCCGTTATTCTCTGACAGTACTAAGGAGGCTGGGAAGTCTGGGCTGGGTGCAGCAAAGTGGCTTTGGCCAGACTGCTTCTCTAGATTCCTCCTCACTGGGCAGGACATCTGTAAGGGAAAGGTAACAGCCCCAGTCAGGGGATTACAGACAAAACCCCCATCTCCCTGGGACAAAGCACCTGGGGGAAGGAGTGGCTGTGGGTGCAGCTTCAGTGGATTTAATCATTCCTGCCTGCTGGCTTTGAAGAGAGTAGCTGATCCTGACAAGAGAGATTCTCCCAGCACAGCGCACCAGCTCCGCTAAAGGACATACTGCCTCCTCAAGTGGTTCCCTGACCCCTGAGCCTCCTGACTGGGAGAAACCTCCCAACAGGGGTTGACATTGCATACAGGAGAGCTCCGGCTGGCATCAGGCTGGTGCCTTCTGGGACAAAGCTTTCAGAGGAAGGAGCAGGCAGCAATCTTTGCTGTTCTGCAGCCTGTCCAGGCCAACGGGGTCTGGACTGGAACTCCAGCAAATTGCAGCAGACCTGCAGAAGAGGTGCCTGACTGTTTGAAGAAAAACTAACAAACAGAAAGCAACAACATCAACATCAACATCAACATAAAGGACTCCCACACAAAAACTCCATCCAAAGGTCATCAGCCTCAAATATCAAAGGTAGATAAATCCACGAAGATGAGGAAAAACCAGCGCAAAAACACTGAAAATTTCAAAATTTCAAAATTGGAGGCTCTTCTCCTCCAAAGGATTGCAACTCCTCTCCAGCAAGGGCACAAAACTGGATGGAGGATGAGATTGATGAATTGACAGAAGTAGCCTTCAGAAAGTGAGTCATAACAAACTCTTCTGAGCTAAATTAGCATGTTCTAACCCAATGCAAGGAAGCTAAGAACATTGATAAAAGTTACAGGAAATGCTAAATAGGCTAGCCATTTTAGAGAGAAACATAAATGACCTGATGGAGCTGAAAAACACAGCACGAGAACTTTGTGAAGCATACACAAGTATTAATAGCCAAATTGATCAAGTGGAAGAAAGGATATCAGAGATTGAAGATTAACTTACTGAAATAAGGTGTGAAGACAAGATTAGAGAAAAAAGAATGAAAAGGAATGAACAAAGCCTCCAAGAAATATGGGTCAATGTGAAAAGACCAAACCTCCCATTGACTGGTGTATCTGAAAGTGACAAGGAGAATGGAACCAAGTTGGAAAACACACTACAGGATATTATCCAGGAGAACTTCCCCAACCTAGCAAGAAAGGCCAACATTCAACTCAATACAGAGAACACCACTAAGATACTCCTCGAGAAGACCAACCCCAAGACACATAACTGTCAGATTCTCCAAGGTTGAAATGAAGGAAAAAATATTAAGGGCAGCCAGAGAGAAAGGTCAGTTTACCTAGAGAGGAAAGCCCATCAGCCTAGTAATAGATCTCTCTACAGAAACCTTACAAACCAGAAGAGACTGAGGGCCAATATTCAACATTCTTAAAGAAAAGAATTTTCAACCCAGAATTTCATATCCAGCCAAACTAAGCTTCCTAAGCAAAGGAGAAATAAAATCCTTTCCAGACAAGAAAATGCTGAATGATTTTGTCACCACAAGGCCTACCTTACAAGAGCTCCAGAAGGAGGAATTAAATATGGAAAGGAAAAACTGGTACTAGCCACTGCAAAAACACACTAAAATATAATGACCAATGACATTATAAAGAAATTGCATCAACTAATGTGCAAAATAACCAGCTAGCATCATGATGCCAGAATCGAATTCACACATAACAATATCAACCTTAAATGTAAATGGGCTACATGCCACAATTAAAAGACTCAGACTGGCAAATGGGATAAAGAGTCAAGACCCATCAGTGTACTGTATTCAGAAGACCCATCTTATGTGCAAAGACACACCTAGACTCAAAATAAAGGGACGGAGGAATATTTACCAAGCAAATGGAAAGCAAAAAAAAGTAGGGGTTGCAATCCTAGTCTCTGATAAAACAAAGATTAAAAAAGTCAAAGAAGGGCATCACATAATGGCAAAGGGGTCAATGCAGCAAGAAGAGCTAACTATCCTAAATATATATGCAACCAATACGGAAGCACCCAGTTTCATAAAACAAGTTCTTAGAGAGCTACAAAGAGACTTAGACTCCCACACAATAGTAGTAGGAGACTTTAACACCCCACTGTCAATATTAGACAGATCAATGAGACAGAAAATTAACAAGGATATCCAGGACTTGAACTCAGCTCATTATCAAGCAGAAGCAAGAGCAAACAAATTCAAAAGCTAGCAGAAGACAAGAAATAACTAAGATTGGAGCAAAACTAAAGGAGATAGAGACACACAAAATAACCCTTCAAAAAATCAATGAATCCAGTAGCTGGTATTTTGAAAAGATTAAAAACATAGATGGAACACTACCTAGACTAATAAAGAAGGAAAGAGAGAAGAATCAAATAGACAAAAAAAAAAATGATGAAGGGAATATCACCACTGATTCCACAGAAACACAAACTACAATCATAGACTATTATAAACACTTCTATGCAAATAAACTAGAAAATCTAGAAAAAAATGGACTAAACCAGGAAGAAGTTGAATCCCTGAATAGACCAATAACAAGTTCTAAAATTGAGGCAGTAATTAATAGCCTACTAAAACAAAAAAAGCCCAGGACCAGATGGATTCACAGCCGAATTCTACCAAAGGTACAAAGAGGAGCTGGTACCATTTTTTCTGAAACTATTCCAAACAGTAGAAAAAGAAGGACTCTTCCCTAACTCATTTTATGAGGCCAGCATCATCCTGATACCAAAACCTGGTAGAGACACACACAGAAAATTTGAGGTCAATATCCCTGATGAATATCGATGCGGAAAGCCTCAATAAATTACTGGCAAATCAAATCCAGCAGCACATCAAAAAGCTTATCCACCAAGATCAAGTCGACTTTATCGCTGAGATGCAAGGCTGGTTTAACATACACAAATCAATAAATGTAATCCATCACATAAACCGATCCAACGACAAAAACCACATGATTATCTCGATAGATACAGAAAAGGCCTTTGATAAAATTCAACATCCTTTCATGCTAAAAACCCTTAATAAACTAGGTATTGATGGAACATATCTCAAAATAATAAGAACTATTTATAACAAATCCATAGCCAATATCATACTGAATGGGTGAAAGCTGGAGGGATTCCCTTTGAAAACTAGCACAAGACAAGGATCCCCTCTATTACCATCCTATTCAACATAGTACTGGAAGTTCTGGCCAGGGCAATAAGGCAAGAGAAAGAAAGGATATTCAAATAGAAAGAGAGGAAGTCAAATTGTCTGTGTTTGCAGATAACAACATTGTGTATTTAGAAAACTCCATTGTCTCGCCTCAAAACTCCTTCAGCTGATAAGCAACTTTGGCAAAGTCTCAGGATACAAAATCAACGTGCAAAAATCATAAGAATTCTTATACACCAACAATAGACAAGCAGAGAGCCAAATAATGAGTGAGTTCCCATTCACAATTGCTACAAAGAGAATAAAATACCTAGGAATACAACTTACAAGGGACATGAAGGACCTCTTCAAGGAGAATTAAAAACCACTTCTCAAGGAAGTAAGAGAGGACAGAAACAAATGGGAAAAAAAATCCATGCTCATGGATAGGAAGAATCAATATCATGAAAATGGCCATACTGCCCAAAGTAATTTATAGATTCAATGCTATTCCCATCAAGCTACAAGTGACTTTCTTCACAGAATGATTAAAACAACATTAAATTTCATATGAAATGAAAAAAGAGCCCGTATAGCCAAGACAATCCTAAGCAAAAGGAACAAAGCTGGAGACATCATGCTACCTGACTTCTAACTATACAAGGCTACAGTAATCAAAAGAGCATGGTACTGGTACCAAAACAGATATATAGACCAATGGAAAAGAACAGACACCTCAGAAATAATACCACATATCTAAACAATCTGATCTTTGACAAACCTGACAAAAACAATAAATGGGGAAAGGATTCCTTATTTAATAAATGGTGCTGGGAAAACTGGTTAGCTATATGCAGAAAACTGAAACTGGACCCCTTCCTTACACCTTAAACAAAAATTAACTCAAGATGGATTAAAGACTTAAATGTAAAACTCAAAACTGTAAAAACCCTAGAAGAAAACCTAGGCAATACAATTTAGGACACAGGCATGGGCAAAGACTTCATGACTAAAACACCAAAAGCAATGGCAACAAAAGCCAAAATTGACAAATGGAATCTAATCAGACTAAATAGCTTATGCACAGCAAAAGAAACTATCATCAGAGTGAACAGGCAACCTAGAGAATGGAAGAAAATTTTTGCAAGCTACCCATCTGACAAAGGTCTAATATCCAGAATCTACAACTAACTTAAACAAATTTACAAGAAAAAAAAACCATCAAAAAGTAGGTGAATGATATGAACAGACACTTCTCAAAAGAAGACATTTATGCGGCCAACAAACATATGAGAAAAAGCTCATCATCACTGGTCATTAGAGAAACACCAATCAAAACCACAATGAGATACCATCTCATGCCACTTAGAGTGGCGATCATTAAGAAGTCAGGAAACAACAGATGATGGTGAGGATTTGCAGAAATAGGAACACTTTTACACTGCTGATGAGAGTGTAAATGAGTTCAACCATTGTGGAAGACAGTGTGATGATTCCTCAAGGATCTAGAACCAGAAATACCATTTGATCCAGCAATCCCATTACTGGGTTTATACCCAAAGTATTATAATAAATCATTCTACTATAAAGACACATGCACACGTATGTTTATTGCAGCACTATTTACAATAGCCAGACTTGGAACCAATCCAAATGCCTATCAATGATAGACTGGATAAAGAAAATGTGGCACATATACACCATGGAATACTATGCAGCCATAAAAAAGAATGAATTTATGTCTTTTGCAGAGACATGGATGAAGCTGGAAGCCATCATTCTCAGCAAACTAACAAAGGAACAAAAAACCTAACACCCCATGTTCTCACTCATAAGTAGAAGTTGAACAATGAGAAGACATGGACACAGGGAGGGAAGCATCACACACTGGGACCTGTCAGGGGGTGGGGGATGAGGGGAGGGAGAGCATTAGCACAAATACCTAATGCATGCAGGGCTTAAAATCTAGATGACTGGTTGGTTGGTGCAGCAAACCACCATGGCGCATGTATACCTACGTAACAAACATGCGTGTCCTGCACATGTATCCCAGAACTTAAAGTACAATTTTTAAAAAAGGAAAAAAAAACTCCATACTATTTTTTTATAACGGTGGTACTAATTTATATCCCACCAATACTTATGAGAATTCCTCTTTTGCTGCATCCTCATCAGCATCTGTTATATTTTGCCTTTTGATAGTAGCCACTTTAATATGGGTGAGATGTCTCACTGAAGTTTTGATTTACATTACATTTATGATTAATGATGTTGAGCATTTTTCATATACCACTTTGCCATTTGTATGTCTTGTTTTGAGAAATGTCAATTCATTTTATTTTCCCATTTTGGAATTGGATTATTTGCATTTTTACTATCTAGTTGTTTGAGTTGTCTATATTTTCTGGATATTAATCTCTTATCTGATGGATGGTTTACAAATGTGTTTCTCTCATTTTTTACATTGTCTCTTTGCTCTGTTGATTGTTTCTTTGATGTGTAGAGGCTTTTTCCCCTACTCTAATCCCATTTGCCTATTTTTACTTTGCCTGTGCATTTGAAGTCTTAAGCAAAAACTCTTTGCCCAGATCAATGTCCTATAGCATTTGCTTAATATTTTTTCTAATAGTTTCATAATTTTGTATTTTCCATCTGTCTTTAATTCTACTTTCATTTTATTTTTATATATGGTGAAAGATAGGGGTTAATTTTATTTTTCTGTATATGGATATTCATTTTTTTCACCACCATTTATAAATAGACTGCCCTTTCGCCAATGCATATTCTTGGGCCCTTTGACAAAAATGAGTTGGTGGTAAATAAATTCATTTAGATCTGGGTTCTATACTCTGCTTCATTGATCTATGTGTCTTTTTTTATACTGATACCTTTTTTTATTATTAGAACTTTGTAGTATATTTTAAAGTTAGGGAGTTTGATGATTCCAGCCTTGTTCTTTTTGCTCAGGATTGCTTTGACTATAAAAGGTTTCCTTCTGTGTTTCCTATAAATATTAAGATTTTTTAACTTCTATTTTAAGTTTAGGAGTACATGTGTAAGATGTGCAGGTTTGTTTCACTTCTTTGCTATTATGAATAGTACTGCCATGAACATAAACGTGCTTGTATCCTTATGATAGAATGGTTTATAATAATATTTCTGCTGATAATGTTAATGCTATTTTGATAGCTATATTATTGAATCTGTATATCAATTTGTGTATTATGAATATTTTTATCAATATTAATTATTCCAATTCATGAATACAGATTATCTTTCCATTTTTTGTGTTCTCTTCAATTTTGTTCATCAGGGTTTTTTTTTGTACAGATCTTTTACTTTGCTTAAATTTATGCCTAGGTATATATTTTTTATAGCTACTGAAAATGAGAATTCTTTCTTAATTTGTTTTTCAGATTGTTAACTGTTAGCATATAAAAATGCTACTGAGTTCAATAAGTTGATTTTGTATCCCGCAACTTTACTGATTTCATTATCAGTTCTATCAGTTTTTGGTGGCGTCATTAAGTTTGTCTAAATATAAGATTATATCATCTATGAAGGTAGACAATTTGACTGCTTTCTTTCCAATTTGAATGGCCTACATTTCTTTCTCTTATATAATTGCTCTGGCTAAGACTTAACAGTATTAATGTTGAATAAAAGGAGTGAAAGTGAACATCCTTGCCTTATTACAGATCTCAGAGAAAAAGCTTTCAACATTTCCTTGTTCAGTATAAAGTTAGCTGTGCGTTTGTCATATATGGTAGCTATTGTTTTGAAGTGTTTTACTTATACATCTAATTTGCTGATTTTTTTTTACCATGAAGAAGGTTGAATATTATCAAATACTTCCTCTGTATCTATGGAGATAATCATATAGTTTTGTCATTACTTGGTCTATATGATGGATCACATGTATCAATTTGTGTATATTGGACCATCCTTGCATCCCTGGAATAAATCTTCCTTGATC
Source organism: Homo sapiens (assembly GCF_000001405.40). Taxonomy (NCBI): domain Eukaryota; kingdom Metazoa; phylum Chordata; class Mammalia; order Primates; family Hominidae; genus Homo; species Homo sapiens. The sequence goes on from NC_000023.11 coordinate 83,159,235, forward strand.
AAAATGTATTAACTTTTTGATATTTTATTGTATTAAGTGTGCTTGTAATTTGTTAAGGATTCTTACATCTATGTTAATCAAGAATATTAGCCAGTAGTGTTCTCTTTTTTCAATTTTAGTAACATTTTTATCTTATCGAAAATATTTTTTAACTTTTATTTTAGGTTCAAGGGTATATGTGAATGTTTGTTATATAGGTAAATTGCATGTCATATGGGTTTTTGTACAGATTAGTAACCCAGGTAATAACCATAGTACCCAATAGGTAGTTTCTCAATGTTCAACCTCCTCTCACCCTCCTTTCTCAAGCAGCTACTGATGTCCTTTGTTCCCTTCTTTGTGGCCATGTGTATTCGATGTTTAGCTCCTCCAGCCTTGAAAGGTACTTATCAGGCCCTAGCCAGAGATAACCATGCTGGAATTTTCTCCACTGATAAGCATGCACATTCCTTCAAAAATTGAAGGTTTTTTTTGTTCATTATAATAGTAACCTTTTGTTCATTATAATAGTAACAAACAGAAGTCTGGGTGGAGGTTTTATATGCTAATAAGACATGCAATGTGTGTACTAGCACATACAACCACAAAGCATAGGTGCCCAAAGAGACTTCCTAAAACATTGTTGCAAGTAACACCCCCTTGGCCATTTATAAAAAAATTATGTAAGATTCTCATAAAGAGAATATTCCAGCACTAGCTGTTGCTGGCTCATTCTTTTGAGCAGCCCGCTCTGTCTCATCTTTCAGAGTGTGTACTCTCTCTTTAAATGAACACTACTACGACTACTATTACTACTACCACTACTACTACTACTAATATTCCAACTGGACCTGCCTGGGGCTGTTTTCCACTCCTCTCTAGGAAGGTACTTATCTACCTTCAATAAACTCTGCTACTTAACCATTGCTATGCATCTATTGTCTGAATTCTATCTTTCAAGTTAGGCAAGAACCAAGGATTACCACACTTCCTGGTCACATACTGTGGTGCTGTGGCTCAGACGGCCTTTCCTGTGAACTTTTCTCTGAGGTAAGTGCCGAGGGTGGTTGAGTCCCCAAGTTGACTGCCTCTGATTTTTCTGCATTGCCTAATGCTGTTCTTGCCACTTTAAGGTGTGAAGTTTTTTCTCTCCCTCCCTTGCTCACATATAAGCCTCACAGATCAGACTGCTTACCCCTGCCAGCCTGTCCTTTTGTTCTTGGCAGGGCTTTCTCACATTTCTTTCTTCACTTTTACCTTTGACCGACGAGGCTGATTTGGAGGTCCTTTCTGCTGTGTATGTCAGAATTCCTCTCCATCTGTCCAGGGCAAATAGAGTTTTTATCCACACAGAGAAAAACTTAATTTCTGGGTAAAATGTCTTTTTGGCCAGACTCCCTTTGTGAAACCTAAGAAACCTAATGGGTGTGACCACTCACACCTTCCCCCAAAAATAAAGACAGAAATCAATTCAGTTAGACACCAACATTCTTGTCATCATAAAATTAGGCTTATTTGTTCTAAGGATTCCAAAAGCTTTCCCTTTTCCAAAGCCCCAAGGGCTGCAGATGCTTAAGCAATAAACACTCCCTCGAGAAGACAGCTGCTTCATGAACACCCACTTCAGAACAGAGCGGTCCAGGGGAGCACCAAGGGATGCCTGGGTGTGGGTCATTGAGCCAAAGAGGACAGGGATGCCTGATATCCCTGGCTTGACTGCAGGATGGCCTCCTAAAGGATGCAGGTTCCCTGGAAAAGGTAAAATAAAAAAAAACAACTTCTCATTCAGGCACCTTTCCGATTCATTTTCCTCTTTCTTTTGGAACATGTGAAGGACAAATATAAATTATAATTGAGCCACCCAGACCCACCTAGGTCCAGGTCCGCTCTTCTATACAGGACCTTTGCCAAGTTAAAGAAAACCTAGGAGAGCTCTCAGCTGACACTGAGAGGCTCACCAATGGATTCCAACAATTAACTCTTATATTTTATTAACTTGTTCATCCTCATGAAACAAGCCCTCTCACAAGAAAAAGAAAACATATATAAGGCAGCATTCTGCTGCAAGGATAACCTACACTTGGCAGATGCTACCTACCTCATGGTAACTACAGCTGTTCCCATGCAGGACCCCGGTTGGGACTACACTACCCAGAGGGGGATACAGGCCAGAAACAATATGCTCCTATGCCTAGCAGAGGTAATAAAAAGGAGTAACATCAAATAAGGAAATTATTATAAGTTAGCCACCATAGACCAAGGGCCAAATAACAAACCTATAGCCTTTCTCAAAAGGCTGCAAGAAACGCTTATCAAACATACCAACTTAGACCCAGGAATCCCCAAAGGAGAACTAGTCCTAAAGCATTACTTTCTTACCCAAGCTGCCTCAGATATTAAGAAAATAATTACAAAAGTCAGGCTTAGGACCCAAAGTCCATATGTCAGAAATCGTCAAATTGACCTCCTCAGTCTTTTATAAACGAAATCAGGATGAGGAGAACAGGGCCAAACAGAAGGAGAAATGGAAAGACGGGAGACAGGCTCAATTATTGGCTGCTTTACAAATCAACCAGGCCCCTCTAGGTTACCTTAAAAATCCCTTCCCTAGAAACTGCCATAAGAGCAGAAAGCCAGGCCACTGAAACGTAAACTGTCCTAATGTGCCAAATAGTAGAAAGACCCAAATGGCCTTTCCTCTCTGCCACAAGCTTGGCCACTGGAAAAGGGACTGTCTCAAGAGACAAAAGGCCCCAGGCCAAACCCCAATCCAGTAATGGATTTGAACTGAAGTGGTCCTCTTCTCCAGCTGTCTCTGAGATCTGACATCATCATAAAAAAAAAAAACGAAACCAAGGCAAGTCTAATGGTGTCAGGTAAGATTATACATTTTATTTTGGATTCAAGAGCTGATTATCCTATGCTAACCTCCTTCTCTGGGCAACTTGTGTCCAAAATCCTGTTGGGTAGTGAGGACAAGTGGCAGTCCCCCAAAAAAACTCACACTCCACCCCCTCCTCATTTTGCGATAGAGTCTCATTCTGTCACCGAGGCTGGAGTTCAGTGGCACGAGCTCAGCTCACTGCACCCTCTTCCTCCCGGGTTCAAGTGATTCTCCTGCCTCAGCCTACTGAGTAACTGGGATTACAGGCACCCACCCCCATGCCTGGCTAATTTTTGTATTTTTAGCAGAGACAGTGTTTCACCATGTTGGCCAGGCTGGTCTTGATCTCCTGACCTCAGGTGATCCACCCACCTGGGCTTGCCAAAGTGTTGGGATTACAGGTGTGAGCCACTGTACCCAGCCCGCACCCCCTTTTTATTACTTAAGGGACCAATTGCTATTTGCCCACCAGTCCCTGGTAATGCCTAAATGTCCCAATCTTCTTTTGTGTAAAAATATACTCTCCCAAATGGATGCCTGGATAATATTTACCAAACATCTGAATTCATTTTTCCCTCCAATAGCCCTATTTCTCCTGGGGAAGCCACACAAACCAATCTTTACCCAATAGCTTCAACCTGGAAAGCCCAAATTTAAGGTTTGAAAAATAGTCCATACTTATTCAAACAGGCCCTAGCAAAAACTCTAACTGAGCTACCTCTTGATGGGGGAGAACTTCTACAATATATAAATTACTTACTCCTGCCCCACCCCCACAGAGCTCACACAAAGACATGCAGTACAAACCTTAAACTTTCTACAAAGAGGATACAAAGTATCCAAAACCGAAAGTGTAAGTTGAGGAAAGGAAATACAAAGAAAACTGTGAATATAAAGTTGTATTTTTGGTAAAGCAGGTCATAAAGAAAATACAATTTTGTATAAAAAAGATCTTGTATGGTTAAATTCTGGTTCTAAAATAAAATGACTGGCTGTTTAAAAAAGAGTGATATTTAGGAGAAGTAAAAATATTCAACCTTGTCATAGATTGTCTGTGTAAGTTGTGATAAGATTTGTGAAGATAAATTTATGGAAGGAATTTTGTATGTAATTAAATTGATTATAATTGGAAGAAAATTATTTATGACAGTCTTTCTAACATTGGTTCCCTCTGTTAAAAAGGTTTTATTAAAGTATTAATCTGGTTTTAATGAAATTATAAGAAGTTTTACTTTAAATTGTGTAACTTGGTTCTTTTAAAAACTTCTCAGGATTTTATCTCAGAAGTTCACCTTTTGCTGTGCCTCACTGTTTTCAGCTTTTTCTCTCCTGAAGAAAGTCTGAGATAATAACTCTCTGCAGCTTTTCGTCAACTCCTGTAATTTTTTCCTCCAGTGCTAACTATTATTATGGCCTAATGCTAAAGTGTTTTATCTTAAAAGTAAAAAAATATAATTAAAACAACGTTTTCCTCTAACATAACTTTTGTACTCTTAGCTTTTCTTAATATGTCTAAATTCTCAATATAATTAGAACAGTTCTTATGTTTTTCCTAAGAGTCATGTATTTCCCTGATATATTCATAACCCTAAACATACCCTTCCTGTTTCTGATTAAATTCAAGCATTTTTTCATCAAGTTTGACCTCCAACTTATTTATATGGACTTCCCATAAAGAGAAGTAGTCACTCTGAAGAAGGTTTTTCTTTGCCTTTTTGGTAACTAGCTTAAGAAATAAAATTTTATCAGTCCTATGCTGTCTTTATTAGGTTTTTAGCTTCAGGAGAAAATATTAATACCCTTTAGTTCATGTAACTTTAGAAATATTTAATTAAAACATTTTTAAAATTATCTATAAAATAAAAATATCTTCGCCTGTAATCCCAGCACTTTGGGAAGTCGAGGCGGGCAGATCACCTGAGGTCAGGAGTTTGAGACCAGCCTTGCCAACATGGTTAAACCCCATCTCTATTAAAACTACAGAAATCAGCTGGATGCGTTGGTGCATGCCTGTAGTCTCAGCTACTCGGGAGACGGAGGCAGGAGAATTGCTTGAACCCAAGAGGTGGAGGTTGCAGTGAGCCAAGATTGCTCTATTGCACTCCAGCCTGGGTAACAGAGCGAGACTCTGTCTCAAAATAAATAAATAAATAAATAAATAAATAAATAAATAAATAAATAAATAAAATGTCTCCATCCTTTTGAGATTTGGTCTAAATTACGCAGATCAAATATTAGGTTTACTGAATGCTTTATGGTCATGAGCTGTTTCTATAACTTTTAATAATTGTTCAGTTTTATTTTTTTATTTTATTATTATTATACTTTAAGTTTATTTTCTTGCTTTAGAGCTGTTAAATTCTGGGTAAGTCCTGGGGACATGTGGAGTTACACATGCCCCCTGGCTATGCTGGGAAAAGTAAAATTTTATCTGTGGTTACATATCTATCCTTCCCTAACAATTGGAGGGGAAGTTGTTCACCAACTTATTTTTCACCTAACGTGGACCTCCTGGACTAACACCCATCAGTACCTATTCCCCTTACTTTCCAGGTCCAAATCTCAGAGAGAGTAACTATAGCTTTTCTCCCCTTATGGCTCTGTTAATTAGTAAAGATTTTTACCTTGTAAAAAAATTTAAGGTTTTCATTTTGAGTAAATAAATGACTTACAGTAACATATGGCATTATAGTATCAAGTGTTTAATCCTTTGATATTTGACAAATTTTCCAAAGTCAAATTCTTATTTAAGCCTTTTTAATCTAATTAACTCTTAAATATTAAGTCCTCTAAAGTCCAAAAGAGACATATGTGGCTTATTTGGTATATTAAAATCATACAGAGAGCATTGTCAACTATAAAAAGATAAAATGTTTCTGGCTTTCCTTGGGCTGAATTCATATAAATGTGCTATTGGTATGTGTTTTCCAAAACTGTATAACTTTCCTTCAATTCTGATGTGTCTCAATATGTTATCAGTAATAAATATGAATGTACTTCCTTGAGTGTATTTCCTTGCTATACTTATAACCCTAAACACACTCTTTTTCTTGTGATATCTTTTCTGACCTTGGTATCAGGGTGATACTTGGCTTCATATAATGAATTTGGAAGTGTTGAAATAATTTAAAAATAATTGGTAAGAGATCTTTGTTAAATCTTTGGTAGACTTCACCAATGAAGTCACCTACTACTGGACTTATCTTTGTCGATTTTTTTTTATTACTGTTTCAATCAATATGCTTCTAGTTGGTCTATGCAGGCCTTCTATTTCTTCTTGATTCAGTCTTGGTAGATTACATTTCTATGCATTTTTATTTTTTCTCTAGGTTACCCAATATGTTCACATTTAATTGTTCAAATGATACCTTATGATCATTTTATTTCTGCATAATCAGTTGTAATGTCTTCTTTTTATACTTCTTCTTATTTATTTGAATCTCTCTTTAGCTAAGTGTTAATTTCATTTCTTAAAAATAACTTCGTTGTTTAATTTTTAATTTTTTCTGTTTTTTTTAAATTTTATTTCTGCTCTAAGATTTATTATTTTCTTTTCTCTCTTAATTTTTTGCTGTTCCATTTTTTTTCTAATTTTCTGAGGTATAATTTCATTGTGTATTTGAGATCTTTGTTCTTTTTTAGGGTAAGCATTTATTGCTATAATCATCTTTCTTAGTACTGCTTTCCTGCATCCTTTAAGTCTGGATATGTTGGTTTCAGTTTCATTTGTCTTATTTTCTCAATTCTTTTAAAAATATTTTTATGACCGAATGGTTGTATAAATGTGTGTTGTTTACTTTCCACATATTTGTGAATTTTACCATTTTTATTCCATTATTAATCTAGTTTGATGCAATTTTGATTGAAAGAGATACTTGAAAAGATTTCAATTTTCTTAAAATTGTTAAGACTTATTTTGTGACCTAACAGTTGATATATCCTGGAGAATGTATCATGTGTGCTTGACAAGAATGAGTATTCTACTGCTGTTGGGTAAAATTCTCTCTGCATATGTTTTAGGTTCATTTTATCTATAGTTTATTCAAATCTGCTGTTTCCTTATTGATTTTTTTTTCTGAATGATCTATCCATTTGATATGGTGTGTTTATGTCCCCACACAAATCTCATATTGAATTGTAATTCCCACAATCCCTAGGTGTCATAGAAGGAAACTTGCAGGAGGTAATTGAATCATGCGGGTGGTTCCCCATGCTATTCTCCTGATAGTGAGTGAGTTGTCATGAGATCCAATGGTTTTATAATGGGCTTTTCCCTCTTCGCTTGGCATTTCTCCTTCCTACCTCTACGTGAGGAAGGATGTGTTTGCTTCTCCTTCTACCATGATTGTAGGTTTCCTGTGGCCCCCCAGCCATGTGGAATTGTAAGTAAATTAAGCCTCTTTCTTTTATAAATTACCCAGTCTTGAGAAGTTCTTTGTATCAGCATGAGAACAAACTAATACAGTATATTGGCACCACAGAGAGTGGAGTGCTGCTATAAAGACATCTGGAAATACGGAAGTGACTTTGGACGGGGTAACAGGCAGAGGTTGGAACAGTTTGGAGGGTTCAGAAGAAGACAGGAAAATGTGGGAAAATTTGGGACTTCCTAGAAATTTGGAAGGCTAAGAAGACAGAAAGATGTGGTGTTGCTGGAAGTCAGGTACTAATACAACATGATTAAAAGCAGGCATGAATGTTTCCTACTATTATTGCATTTGTGTCTATTCCTTCCTTAAGTTCTGTCGACTTCTGTTTTATATAGAGCTTTGATGTTGGTTTTATATATATTTATAATTGTTTTCTTTTCCTCTTGAATGGACCCTTTTCTCAATACAAAACAGCTTTATTTGACTATTTTAGTTTTTAACTTAAAGTCTATGTTTTTCTGGTATAAGTATAGATACTCTTGCTTGATTTTGGTTACATTTGCATGAAACATATATTTTCTTTTCCTCAGATGTAGTCTATATATGTCTTTAATTCTAAAATTAGTCTCTTGTAGATACCACAAAGTTGGGTACTTTTTATTTTTATTCATTTAGCAAATTAGACTCTTGATTAGGAAGTTTAGATCACTTATATCTAAAGTTAAAATTGATGGGTAAGAACTTTCTACTTCTACTTTTTTATTGTTTTCTCTCTGTTTTATACTAATAACCATATTTTAAGCTATAACAACTTAACTTTAATCATATACAGCAGGAGTCCCCAAACCCACGGACTGGTACCAGTCCATAGCCTGTTAGGAACCAGGCTATACAGCAGGAGGTGAGTGGCAGTGAGTAAACATTACTACATGAGCTCTGTCTCCCATCAGATTAGCAGCAGCATTATATTCTCACAGAAGCGCAAATCCTATTGTGAACTGGACACGCAAGGGACCTAGGTTGCATACTCCTTATGGGAATTTAACTAATACCAGAAGATCTGAGGTGGAACACTTTCATTCTGAAACCATCTACCCAACTCAGTTGGTGAAAAAATCATCTTTCACAAAAACAGTCCTTGGTGCCTAATGGCTGGAGATCGCTGACAGGAACTGTATACTTTATTTTCTTCTTATGGATACATTTTAAATTACTGCTGTCAGATTTTACGTTTTCATATATTACTTTTTTTATCAAACTTCTGAGATTATAATTATTCTTAATATTTTTGTTTTTCAATTTTTTTATATTAGTGTTAACATTATTTATGTGCCATCATTGCAGTATTACAACATTCACTATTTGTCTATGTATTTACATTTATCAGTAAGATTTGTACTTTCATATGCTTTCATGTTATTGTTTAATACATTTTTGTATTTGAATAATTCACTGTAGCAATCTTATACAGTAGGTCGAGAGGTAAAAAATTCCCTCAATTTTCATTTTTCTAGAAATTTTTATTTCCTTTATTCTTAAATAACTGTTTTATCTGGTACAGTATTTGTCTTTGGGAGATTTTTTCTTTCTGCTTATGGATTATATCATTCATTTCTTTCCTGGGCAGCAATTATTCTACTGAGAAATGAGTTGATAGTTCTATCGAGAACTCTTCCATATATGACAAGTCACTTTTCTCTTTCTGTGTCTTACATTCTTTGTTTTTTATTTTCATTTTATTCAATTATAATATGTCTCCATGTGGTCTTCATTAATCCAAATGTCCATTTTCCTCTGTATATTTAGAATGCTTTCTGTCAGCATTTTAAATGTGTAATTTATCTTTGTTTTTTTAATTTCTCAATAAATGGAAAACAATTGTACACATAAGGCACATGTAATATTTTTATACATACATACAATGTATAATGTTTAAATGAAAATAACTAGGATATTCATTACCTCAAATATTATTTCTTTGTATTAGAAGTATTTCAAATCTTCATTTCTACAATAAATTATTGTTATCTATTGGCATCCTATTGTGCTATCAAATATTAGCATTTATTTATTCTATCTAACTGTATGCTTTTACCTGTTACCCCAATTTTTTCTCCCCCATACACCCCTACATTTCCCAGCCTCTAGTGACAATTATTTTACTCTCTACTTTGATGATGTCAACATTTTTAGCTCCCACATGTGAGACAGACCATATCATATTTATCTTTCTGTGCCTGGTTTATTTCACTGAACTTACTGTTTCATCCATGTTGCTGCAAATGACATAATTTCATACTTTTAATGGCTTAGTAATATTTTATTCTGTATATATACTACAGTTTCCTTTTACTCATTCATGTGTTTATGAACACATAGGTTGATTTTTATCTTGGCTGTTGTGATTAATGATGCAATAAACATGGGAGTGCAGATGTCTCCTTATTAATTGATTTTCTTTCTTTTGGATATATACCCAGTACTGGAATTGCTAGATTATATGGTAGTTCTATTTTTAAACATTTGAGAAAACTTCATACTGTTTTCCATTGTTGCTGTACTAATTTATATTTCTACCAATAGTGTTTAAATGTTCCCCTTTCTACACATTCTCACCAATATCTGTTTCTTTTTATCTTTTTGAAAATACTAATTTTAACTGGGATGAGTTGTTATCTTATTGTGGTGTTGATTGGAATTTCCTGGGTAATTAGTGTTGTTGAATATTTTCTTTCATATACCTGATGGCCATTTGTATGTCTTCACTTGACAAATGACTACTCAAAAATTTTTTCCATTTTAATTTGATATTTTTTGATATTGAGTGCAAAATATATATTCTCATTATTAATTCATTCTCAGATAGATAGTTGCAAATATTTTCTCCCACTCTGAAGGTCTAATCTTCACTTTGTTGGTTGTTGCCTTTGCTGTGCAGAAGCGTTTTAGCATGATATAATCCCATTTGTCTATGTTTGCTTTGGTGGCCTATACTATTGAAGTCTTACTCGAAAAATCTTTGCACAGACCAATGTCTTGAAGCATTTTTTCTTAATATTTTCCTGTAGTAGTCTCATCGTTTTGGGGCTTATATTTATGTCTTTAATATATTTTAATTTGATTTTTCTGTACAGTGAGAGATAAGGGTCAAGTTTTATCCTTCTGTATATAGATATTTAGTTTTTCCAGCATCATTTATTGAAGAAACTGTCATTACGCCAATATATGTTTTTGGCATCACTGTCAAAAACGAGCTGGCTGCCAATGCATGGATTTTTTTCTGTGTACTCTATTCCCTTCTATTTATCTATGTGATTTTTTTATGTCAGTAGTGTACTGTTTCTGTTACTATGGCTGTGTAGTATAATTTAAAGACAGTTTATGTGATGCCACAGGCTTTATTTATTTATTTATTTATTTATTTATTTATTTTGCTCAGTATTGCTATGGGCCCATTTAAATTTTAGGTTTTTTTTTTTCTGTTTCTGTGAAAAATGTCATTGTTATTTTTAAAGGGATTTGGCTGAATCTATAGATTTTTGGGGGTGGTATAGATACTTGAGCAATATTAATTCTCCAAATACAGAAGCATGAAATACATTTTACTGTTTCTTATTTAATTTCTTTTATCAGTGTTTTATAATTTTCATTGTAAAAATCTCTTACTATTGTCTTTAAGTTTATTTCTAGGTATTTTTGTAGGTATTATAAATTGGATTGTGTGTTTTCTTAGATTGTTCATTGTTGGCATATAGAAATGCTACTGGTATTTTATTCTGCAACTTTACTAAATAAGTTTATCAGTTCTAACAATTTTTGTGGTAGACTATTTAGCTTTTTCTAAGTGTAAGATTATGTGTTCTGCAAATAAGAACTAGTTGATTCCTATTCAGTTTGGATGGCCTGCATTTCTTTATTCAGTCTAATTGCTCTGTCCAGGATTTCCAGTACTAGATCAAATACAAAGTTGAAAATGGGCATTCTTATGTCATTCTAAACCTTAGAAGAAAAGTCTTAATTTTTGCCTCTTCAGTATGATGCTAGCTGTGGGTTTGTCATATATGGTATTTATGGTTGAAAGTTTGTTTATTCCATACCCAATTTGTTGACTTTTCTTTATAATGAAAGAATAAATTTTACTGAAATTTTTGGTGTCTATTAAGTGATCATATGGCTTTTGTACTTAATTCTATTAGTATGTGTATCTCATTTATTGACCTGTATGCATTGAACCATCCTAGTATTCATTGGATGAATTCCACATGATCATGGTGAATGATCTTTTTAATGTTTTGTTGAATTTGATTTGCTAGTATGTTCTAGAGCATTTCTGCATCTATGTTTATCAGAAATATAGGATCATATATATTTTTTCTTCCAACTTTTATTTTCAGGGACTACAGGTGCAGATTTTTTTATTGGGGTAAATTACATGTTACTGGGGTTTGATTTACAAACTATTTTGTCACCCAGGTGGTGAGTATAAAACCTGATAGGTAGTATTTTTATCCTCACCCTCCTCCCATCCTACATCCTCAAGTAAGTCCTGAGGTCTACGATATCTCTTTTTGTGTTTATGTGTATTCAATGTTTAGTTTCCACTTATAAGTGAGAGCATGTGGTACATGGTTTTCTGATTATGTGTTAATTTGCTTGAGCTAATGGCCTCCAGCTGCATCCTTGATGATGCAGAAGACATGATTTCATTCCATTTTTTAAAACCATGTAGTGTTTCATGGTGTGTATGTGCCACATGTTTTTATCCAGTCCTCCAATGTTGGGCATCTAGGTTGATTCTATGTCCTTGCTATGGTGTAAAGTGCTATATGTGTATGAGTCTTTGTGGTAGAATGACTTAAATTCCTTTAAGTATATTTGCCAGTTATAGCATTGCTGTATCAAATAGTAGGTTCTGTGTTAAATTCTTTGAGAGATCTCCAAGCTGATTTTCATGTGGCTGAACTAATTTATATCCCCACCAGTAGTGTGTAAATGTTTCCTTTTTCTCTGGAAAATTACAAACATCTTTTTAAAAAAAAATTTAATAATAGCCTTTCTGACTGGTATGTGATGGTATCTTATTGTGATGCTTATTTGCATTTCTCTGATGATTAGTGATACTGAGTGTTTTTATTTTATGTATTTGTTGGACACATGCACGTCTTCTTTTGAAAAGTGTCTGTTCATGTCCCTTACACATGTTTAACAGCGTTATTTCTTATTTGTTGAATTGTATAAGGTCCTCTTATATGTATATATATATATGTATACGTATATATATATGTATATATACGTATATATATATATGTATACGTATATATATATGTATATATACGTATATATATACGTATACATATATATATATACACACATATATATACATGCACACACACACTATTAGTTCTTTCCCCTAGAGAACCCTGACTAATACACCCCCTATTGGCATAAAGCAGTTAAGAGAAGTCATCACGCCTATCTTAATGGCAGTTAGATGTACCTCTTCGGACAGGGAATTGATGGCAACAGCAGGCGGTCCAGAGAAGCCACTGTCATCATGCCAGTTGCACAGGGACGCACTGTCTGTGGTGGCAGGAGTGGCTCCAGGAACAGCAATAGCGGTGGTGGGTACCCTGTGTCTCACGTCCCTGAAGCAGCTGATTGTACTGCTCCCACCCTCACATGGCCAGGCAGGACCTGCCTTTATGCCTAGAGCCTCCATTACTCTTGCCTGTCACCACTGCAGGGAGGGTACAAGGAGGAGGTGGAGCTGGGCCTGTGGCAGTGCTGTGCTCCATGGAGTTGCCAGGAGCCAGGGACAAGCTGGAGCCCCCAGGGAGCCCACTGCCTTGGGGACCACTGTGATGGGGCCAGACCAAGCCACCTGCCAGCTGGGGAGTAACAGTCTGGCACAGACAGGCAGGCAGAGAGGGGCCCTAAGAGGACCTGGAGCCTCTGACCCATGCTGCACAGAGGAGGCATATATATATATGTACATATATATGAGTTTATTAAGTATTAACTTACATGATCACAAGGTGCCACAAGAGGCTGTCTGCAAGCTGAGGAGCAAGGAAAGCCAGTCCTTATCCCAAGCTGAAGAACTTGGAGTCAGTTGTTCAAGGGCAGGAAGCATCCAGCAGGGGAGAAAGATGTAGGCTGGGAGGCTACGCCAGTCTGGGTTTTTCTTGTTTTTTCTGCCTGCTTTATATTCACTGCAGCTGATTAGATTGTGCCCACCAGATTAAGGATGGATCTGCCTTCCCCAGCCCACTGACTCAAATGTTAATCTCCTTTGGCAAAACCTTCACAGACACACTCAGGGGATCAATATTTTGTATCCTTCAATCCAATCAAGTTGACACTCAGTATTAACCATCCCAAGTCCACCCCTTGTCCAATTGAACCCATACACATCTCCTGAGATTATATATGATCTTCAAATAAAGACAGTAATAAGGTTATAATTATGCCTAACATAATACAACTATTCTTCATATGACCGGAAATGCACCTATCCCCATCCCAAATACTATTACATAAAGTTAACAATGCTTAAATGCTGATATAAAGTCAATAAATCTTATGTCACATGATAAAGGAAAAGGAAGTACAATTAAGGTATTTTGTTAGTGCAATTGTATACGTGCACAAACATGTTTTTAACAAAAGAAGGAGGAAATACTGATGACAGTTACAGTCCTCGTTTCTGCACGTTGTCACGTGATCATAGCTGGTATTGATGACTACCTTCTCCTACTACTCATTCTGTATTTTCTTTCCCTTCAGGAGGCACCTCAGCAGGTAGTGGTTTCTTTCCTGGTGAAGTGACTCAAATCATCATTCCTGAGGGGTCTGGGCCATTTGTAGTCCTACCTGGATTGGACTATTGTAGTTTCCCATTGACCTTAATCACAGGGCACAGTAATACTAAGAGACGACCTACTGGACCTTCTGTATTCCATGCGTACTCTTCCTTACTTCCGTATGGAGTAGTAGACTGATTTCATATTGATAGTCTGGGTCAGTTACCCAAGCCAACACTGTAACTCCCTTCTTAGCCTGTTGACTTAAAGATAGGAGCCCTAAGTGTAGAGGTGGCAATCTTAACTTCCAATTTAATGGAGTCGTTGTTGTGTCTCCTGGTGGCAGCAGTCCTCCCTCTGGAACTAAGACCTCTAGGCCAATAGAATATAATGTGGTAGGAACAGGAAGCAAAAATTTTGCTAGTGGATCACTAGGAGTGATGGTGAGTGGTGCCACTTCCACTTCTACCCCTTGACTCCTGGACCCATGAATCCTGGCTATGGTAGAAACAGTACCATATATTGGATGCTGATTCAGAGCATACGCGGCCTTCTGGAGATCTTTATCCCAGACATGCAAAGTATTGTCACCGAGGTGGCATTGTAACTGTGACTTCAGAAGGTCATTCCACCGTTATATCAATCCAGCTGCTTCAGGATAATTGGGAACACGGTATGACCAGTGAATTCCATGAGCATGAGCCCATTGATTCACTTCTTTAGCAGTAAAGTGAGTGCCTTGGCCAGAGGCAATGCTGTGTGGAATACCATGACGATGGATAAGGCATTCCATGAGTCCACAGATGGTAGCCTTGGCAGATGCATTGTATGCAGGATAGGCAAACCCATATACAGAGTAAGTGTCTATATCAATAAGGACATACCTCTGCCTTTTTCATGATGGGAGAGGTCCAAAATAATCAACCTGTCACCAGGCTGATCACCATGAGGAATGGTGCCATATTAAGGACTCAAAGCTGATCTCTGCTGGTGGCAAATTGGGAACCCAGCAGTGGACATAGCCAAGTCAGCCTTGGTGAGTGGAAGTCCATATTTCTGAGCCCATGCATAACCTCCATTCCTGCCACCATGGCCACTTTGCTTATGGGTCCATTGGGCGATGACAGGCATAGCTGGGGAAAGAGTCTGAGTGGTGTCCACAGAATGGGTCATCCTATCCACTCGATTATTAAAATTCTTCTCTGCTGAGGTAACCCGTTGGGGAGCACACACATGGGATGCAAATATCTTCACAGTTTTTGACCGTTCAGAGAGGTCCATCCAAATACCTCTTCTCCAAATTTCTTTGTCACCATTTTTTCAATTATGCTTCTTCCAAGTTCCTGACCATCCAGATAAACCATTGGCTACAGCCCATGAATCAGTATATAATTGTACATCTGGCCATTTCTCCTTCCATGCAAAGTGCACAACCAGGTGCACTGCTCGAGGTTCTGCCCATTGGAAAGATTTCCCTTCACCACTGTCCTTCAGGAATATCTTAGAAAGGGGCTGTAGTACTGCAACTCTCCACTTTTGAGTGGTGCCTGCATATCATGCAGAACCATCTTTGAAGCACGCAGTTCATGATAGGTAGCTCAGGTCGCTTGGTGACTTGATGACCAATAGTCACATGTTCAGTTTCCACCAAAGCTCAGTAACAGGCCAAGAGCTGTCTCTAAAAAGGAGGTCAGTTATCTGGAGAAGATGGCACAGCCTTGCTCCAAAATCTTAGAGGCTTATGCTGTGATTCACCTACCTGCCAAAGGATCCAAACAACATCCCTATCTGCCACTGACACCTTAAGCACCAGTGAATCTGCCGGGTCATATGCCCCAAATGTCAGAGCAGCTTGCACAGCAGCCTGGACCTGGTGCAGAGCCTTCTCCTGTTCTGGACACCACTCAAAACTGGCAGCCTTTTGGGTCACTCGATAATTGGACCAGAGTAACACACCCAAATGAGCAGTGTGTTGCCTCTGAAATCCAAATAGCCCCACTAGCCCCATTGTGCCTCTTTCTTGGTGGTAGGAGGGGCCAAATGCAGCAACTTATCCTTCATGTTAGAAGGAATATCTCAACAGGCTGCACACCATTGGACCCCTAGAAATTTTACTTAAGTAGGAGGTCCCTGGATTTTAGTCAGATTTATTTCCCATCCTCTGGCACACAAATGTCTCACCAATAAGTCCAGAGTGTTTGCTAATTTTGGCTCACTGGATCCAATCAGCATATTGTCATCAATGTAATGGACCAGTGTGATATCTTGTGGAAGCGAAAAGTGTCCAAGGTCTCTCCTAATAAGATTATGACACAAAGCTGGAGAGTTAATATATCCCTGAGGTAGGACAGTAAAGGTATATTGCTGGCCTTGCCAGCTGAAGGCAAAATGTTTCTGGTGGGACTTATGGACAGAAATGGAGAAAAAGCATTTGCCAAGTCAATGGCTGCATACCAGGTACCAGGAGATGCGTTAATTTGCTCTAGCAATGAAACCACATCTGGTACAGCAGCTGCAATTGGAGTCACCACTTGGTTAAGCTTATGATAATTCACTGTCATTCTCCAATATCCATCTGTCTTCTGCACAGGCCAAGTGGGAGAGTTGAATTGGGATGTGATGGGAATCAATACCTCTATGTCTTTCAAATCCTTGATGGCGGCACTAACCTCAGCATTCCCACCAGGAATGTGATATTGTCTTTGATGTATTACTTTCCTAGGTAGAGGCAGCTCTAACGGCTTCCATTTGGCCTTTCCCAACATAATGGCCATCACTCTATCAGTCAGGGAGCCAATGCGGGGGTTCTACCACACATTGATGCCACACATAGGAGCCTGCCCCCCCAGGAGCTTTTGGCAGGCCCCCATAGGCCCCCATCAGCTGCTAAGTATGTCTATGCCAATTATGCATTCTGGCACTGGGAAATGACTATAGGATGAGTCCAGGTACCCACTGGATCCACAGTAAGTCAGATCTCAGCTAAAACTCCATTAATTACCTGACCTTCATAACCTCCTACTTTAACTGGAGGACCACAATGACATTTTGGTTCCCCTGGAATCAACGTCAACTCAGAACCAGTGTCCAGTAGTCCCCAAAATGTCTGATAATTTTCCTTTCCCCATTGCACAGTTACATTGGTAAAAGGCCAGAGGTCTCCTCGGGGGAAGGATAGGAAAAAGATTCACTGCATAAAGTGTTGGTAATGTAGTGGAGTCCTTCCTCAAGGTGACCTAGCCTCCCCTTCATTCAAAGGGTTCTGGGTCTGTAAACTGGCTCAAGTCTGGAAATTGATTGAGGGGCAGTTTTGTTCATTCAACCTGGAAATTTTCTATTTTTATAATTTAAGTAGGAATGCAGTAGGCTTCCTATCAATTTCACTTCTAGGAACAGCATGATAAATTAGCCAATGCCAGAGCTCTACACAAGTCAGACTATTATGATTGTCACTTTGCCTCTGCTGTCCATTACGGTAGCTATACCCACCTTGCCTTTGACTGTTTAGTGTTGTCACATGGCCCCTGCCACCTCGGGATCCGATTATTCTCATTGTATTTAAATTTTGTAGTTGAGTGACTGTGATTTCCACTGTTAGATCTGACATACAGAGAAGAGCAATTACAGGGCTCTTCAAAGATGCAGGTCCTGCCCTCACAAATTTATTTCACAAGGTATTGGTCAAGGGTATATCTTCTGGACCCTCCCAGCTGAAATGAGTAGATCTAAAGTGACTAATTCACTCCAACATCCCAAACTCCCTAAGCCTTTAGATCTCTTCCTCTACATTAAACCAAGGGAGATCACGCATTTCCAGCTTGCTCACAGTGTGCCATCTTTTAATCCATATTTTGGCTAATCAAGCAAATAAACTATTAGAACCTTTTTTAACTCCCTGAGCTGCAACATTAAATGCAACGTCCCTTCTTAGCGGGCCAAAATTAATAATTCAGCTTTATCCAACTCTATGTTCCTTCCACCATTATCCCATACCCTTAATATTCATTCCCATGCCTGTTCTCCAGATTTCTGTTCATATAAATTAGAGAACTCAAACAGTTCTTTTTGAGTGTAGCACACCTTCTCATGGGTCACACTCTAAACCTCACCTCTAGGGGTCTGTCGAGACTTTGGTCTAGTTATAGGTCTAGAAACAAACGAGTGTTGGGGGTGGTTCCTGAGGAGGATCAACATAATTTTTCCTGGCAGCTGCCTCAGGGGAGGCCATCACTGTCGCCTCAGGCAGCACAGGGTTTGTCTCCTCAGACAAAGGTGGAAAGGCTGATGGCAGCACAGGTTGGGGAAGGGATGTTGCCACCACTGGGGATGGGAAACTGTTCCTTCCGGCAAAAACGGTTCATCAGAGTTTACAAACTCAGTGTCCCCAACTTCATCAGGGTCTTCCCACACCTCCCCATTCCAAGATACAGGGTCCCATTCTTTTCCAATCATTTAACAGAAGACACCTGGCAAGGCTGTGCATGCACCTTTCATTGCAGGTCAGCCACTTACATGATAAGCGCTCGTGTCTGTTTTTCCACAATTTCAGCTCTTTCTCTACTGGAAATAAGACTACCACTCAGGGCAATCTTAGCAGATTTGAGGCTATCTGCTTCTGAAGCTGGGAGACAGAATTTCTGAGCTCATCATGTTTTTTTTTTTTTTCTTCATCAATTTGTCCACTGAACTTAGGAGCAACCAAACAGCTTCATTATATTCCTTGGTTCTCCACAGATGGTCAAAGGTATTATGTACAGAGTCACTAAACTCCCTGCCTCTCATGAGTGGTGAATCAGGAGTATCAAATGCATTAATTTTGTATAACTCTCTAAGCAGTTTATGCCAAGGACTATCAGTATGCTCCATACTATTAGAAGTAGAGTCCTTAGCATTTTGGGGTCTAATCATATTAAGCAGTCAACTCTAGAAACCCCAAAACCAGTGAAAGAACTGTATCCTTAATATTCTGTTTCTCTAGAACCACTCCTGGTACCAAAATCTGTATTAGTCAGGGTTCTCTAGAGGGACAGAACTAATTTTATATATATATAGTAACATATGTGGTATATATGGTAACATATGTGGTATATGTGGTAACAAATTCTTAATGTTTACTTGCCTGAAAAATAATTTATTTCTCCTTCTTTTATGAATCTTAGTTTACGTGAACATGAAATATATGTGTGTGTGTGTATATATATATATATATATATATATATATGTGACTTTATTAAGTATTAACTTACATGATCATAAGGTCCCACAAGAGGCTGTCTGCAAGCATATATATATATGAGTTTATTAAGTATTAACTTACATGATCACAAGGTCCCACAAGTGGCTGTCTGCAAGCTGAGGAGCAAGGAGAGCCAATCCGAGTCCCAAACTGAAGAACTCAAAGTTGGATATTCAAGGGCAGGAAGAATCCAGCAGGGGAGAAAGATGTAGGCTGGGAGGCTAAGCCAGTCTGGCTTTTTCACGTTTTTTCTACCTGCTTTATATTTGTTGACAGCTGTTTAGATTGTGCCCACCAGATTAAGGGTGGGTCTGCCTTCCCCGGCCCACTGACTCAAATGTTAATCTCCTTTGGCAACACCCTCACAGACACACCCAAGGGATCATTACTTGGTATCCTTCAATCCAAACAAGTTGATACTCAGTATTCACTATCACAGGGCTATTGTTTTGGGAGAAATCGCAGTCAGATTTTCTCTCAGGGGTCTATCTAAGGGTCCCCAGCAAAAGGGAGCCATCATCCAATTGCATGACCATTTTGAGTTTGGTGGCCCATCCCCCTTATTATTCTCCAAGCTGTGGACAGAGATCACTGGTTTGTTCACTCCTACAATTGTCAAAAGCTGCAAATAGCTCAAAAGAAAACTTCATTGACTCTGAAAAACAAAACAAAGATCAGCAATGTTCCAAGCAAAAAGTGAAGAAAACATTACTTCTATCTTCCATTAATTCAGTCCGCCCATTTAACTCCTGGTTACAATCTCCAAGGTTATCAGAAACTTGCACTCAAGGACTGTAATCCATCTTTAGAAGAGGATCAAAACAAGACAACAATTGTCTGTGTTTGTCAAAGTGCCCTACGGTAATCACACTAAAAAACACAATTGACAAAGAAATTTGTCCACCTCTGTGCTCTACAATATACTAACCCAATAACCCTAATTATAATTGATAACACATAGTCAGACATTTGGATTTTAGAAGTCCCATACAATTTTGGAACATACACCAACATTATTCACCAAAACATAACCTGAAGAAGACTAAATGCTATCTTTATCTTGACAATTCCATAAATTAAACATGTTAAATAATTTTGTTTACCTCTCTTCTGGATGCTCCAGGAGTGAGAAAAGACAATTTTGAAGCTGAAATTTTATTTTGGGAAAGATAAAATATGTTACAGATTTAAAACAGTTGATATTAAGAAATAGAATTTCAGGTTACCGTAAGTCATTTATTTAGTCAAAGTGATGAATCTAAAAAGAAGGCAAAAACCTTTACTTATTTTTATTTATTTATTCATTTTGAGATGGAGTCTCACTCTGTCACCAGGCTGGAGTGCAGTGGCACGATCTCACCTCATTGCAACCTCTGCCTCCCTGGTTCAAGTGATTCTCCTGCCTCAGCCTCCCTAGTAGCTGGGACTACAGGCGTGTACCACCATGCCCAGCTAATTTTTGTATTTTTAGTAGAGACGGGGTTTCACCATGTTGGCCAGGATGGTCTCCATCTCTTGACCTCATGATCCACCCACCTCAGCCTCCCAAAGTGCTGGGATTAGAGGCCTGAGCGACCACGCCCGGCCAAAAACCTTTACTTATTAAGAGGGAAGACTTAGCTTTCCAAACAATCTGTCTCTTGTCTTTTCCTTCTTTTTTTAATAGTTTGTTGCCAAGGAAAACAAAAATCTTCCATCATCCTTTAACATTACCTGAAAATCTTAATCAGTTTTACCACGAGGTAAGATTCTTATAGACTTTTTATAACCCTATACACATTTTTGTTAAATAGCAGGTCAGTGCCTCAAGATAACCTTGTTGTGCTTTGATTCTCAAGTTCAATTTACAGAAAAAGCCAATTGTACTCTTTTGAATGTAGTCAATATAAGTTTATTTAACATGGTTAATTTTTATAAACTTTCCACAATTTGTTCAGACCTTTAGCTTTTAAATAATCCTTTAACCATCTAAACTGAGGCAGAAATTTACATTCCCATCCCTTCTTATAATCTTTTACCAAAACCACATTTTACTCTTCTTACACACTTTGTATGTAAATTTATTTTCAGTAGTCTCAGTTACATATTACAGTGTTAACTCTCAGCAATGTTTAATTTTGGTGGAAAACCCGGTAAGTTATTTTAATTATGTATTGGGTGTGGATAAGGTCTGACGCTTTCCAGCATAGTTAGGAGAGTGGTTAACTCCAAATTTCCCCAGGCCTTACCAAACTGTAAAGCAGGCAAGTTGAACAGTTTTCAAAAGCCAAAAAAGCAGTTTATGATCTTAAAGCATTTAGCAAACCTAATTTGGACCACACATCTAAATTTTGAAGACAATTTTATTTTACCAATAATTTTAAAAACATTATTTCTCAAAGATTAAAGTCATGTGAACTAAAAGGCATTACATTCTATTTTTCTTTAAGAGTATTTGATTTAAGTGCTTCTTTTTCCTTAAGCCAATCAGTTATAAATCTTTTATATAAACATCACACACATAACACATATATAACTACACAGACAGACAGAAGGGTATCCAGTAGTTGTAAGATTTTCTATGTGCCAATCTCTTAATTGAATTACTGGCCTCAGGGAGAAGCTCTTCAAGAAACATGTCTAGGAAAACATGCAGTTTCTAAGATTTAATAAGCAGGCATAGCTGATAGACAAATCAGATTTTGAGAGGAATCCATCCATCTGTAATTCCTGGGGTTTTTTGAGGAAAACAGAGGTTTTTCCCAAACTGGGGTCAATGGCACCTTCTCCATTTTCCCAAGGAGACCCAGGTCACCAGAAGTAATCCTGGAGCCCTTCATGTGTTCATGGCAAGACAAAAATGGAGAGAAATAATTAAGCTGATTGAGAATAAAAAATCTTTCTTTCAGAAAAACAAGATCCGCTAAGAGAAAAGACACAAAGCCTTTTTAAATATACCTACAGCTTGGATATCCATCTTTCATTAAGCTGATTTTAACTATAACACTCCTTTTTTAAGAAGTCCTTTTAAATCTTTTATTACCCGACCATAGCCATGCCAAATGACCAATACTTTTGGCTTTTGAACTCATGGAAGAAAAAATAATACAGTAAGTTTTACCATTCCTGCAACCAGTTTGCACAGAGAGAGAGAAGCCAGAAGTCTAACTGGTAAGAACTTTTACCCTTTTGCCAACATGTCAGCCTTCTGGGTTCTTTTCCCTGAAGCCATGGAGCCCTATTGCCCCTGGAGTCCTGTGAAGGGGGAACAGACAAATATAAATTGTTTATTATCAAGATATTACCAAGAGGTTTGAGATTGGGAGAAATTAAAATCTACCCAGCTTGGGAGATCCATCCAAGGGGTGTGTCCTGTGGTATGGAGATATGAAGAGAGGACACAGGAGGAAAATAGGAAAAAAAAAACAAAAACTTTTTTTTTTCTTTTTTCAGGGTCTGAGGACCAAAAGAGTTCCAGTGTTTTAGGATGCACTCAAGAGGAGTGGAGGCTGAAGATGGTTGGTTACCCATCTGGAAAGAGGGAAAAAGAGGCATCCCTTTTTTCTCTCTCTTTCCAGCAAACACCAAGGGTATATTATGGGGATAAAAAAAGGCATCCTTATTTTTTCTTCTGACCTTATATCCCTGAGTCCTCACGACCTTTGCAGGTGACATCCCATGGGTGCAAGTGCAATCTTCACCTATGTAGCGTGGAGGCCTAATAGGTACGAATATTCACTTACCTACATGCCGCCCTATCCTCTCACTGTCGGTAACCTTTGGGTTTCCTAGACCTTAACTATGTCATGGATGTGAGAATGACCTCAATCCATGAAGTGGGAGGTCCTAATAGGGAGGAATTAGTCATGCTTACCTGTACTCTATCCCTTGACTCCCACTGTCATGTCTCAGGTCTAGCGTTCCATTTCAG
The DNA here is from genome assembly GCF_000001405.40 of Homo sapiens. Taxonomy (NCBI): domain Eukaryota; kingdom Metazoa; phylum Chordata; class Mammalia; order Primates; family Hominidae; genus Homo; species Homo sapiens. The sequence continues at coordinate 83,182,417 of NC_000023.11, forward strand.
GGCTTCAAACTAAACCTTTGGACAAAAAGTTGCCTCAGGAGGGTGTACGGCCCATTAAATTACTTCCAGGTGGCCCTTGCCCAATTGCAGCTAGCAACTGGTGGGGGCCACTTCTCCATTGCCTCCCTATCATAAGCAGGTGGAGCTGTGGAACCAGGTCCTCCTTAAACAAGGGATATAAAGAGAGTCCTGGGAATCGGGAACCTGTCCTAATAAGATGTTTTCCAAAATGAAAAAACCTAACCCCTCACATAGAAAAGCTCTCTGTATTCACAGGACTATGTTGACTCCTGACATACTGGAAGAAGGAGAACTTAAGCGCAGCGGAGGGAAGGCACCTGGGGGAAAAAGTCTCTTGCCTTATGCAAATGGGTTCCTTCAACAGGGGAAAGAGAACAGTAAGAAAGAGGTCTCCCCAACTACAACAAGAGGTTAGAAAGTCTTTCCTAAGATGCCCCTCAGGGTCATGTCAAGAGAGGAGGGGTGCCTAGATAGGAGAATAGAACTGGAAGTCCCACTCTGGAGTCTAGGAGTAGTTCCACTCTCCTTCCATCAGCCCCCAGAATCACCCAGGGCTCCTGAACGGCAATGGCAGTCTGAACCACTGAAGATGGGGAGAGAAGCCCCACGGCCTGCTGTCCTGCTTGGAAGACCAACCCTGGACCCAGCGACCTGTGTTTCCAGGGATGGTCTGCCTTCCATTGGTCCCCATCACAAACTGGACAGGGTTGAGGTGTCTTCTCCCTGCTGACTGGACAGTCCCTCCTAAAATACCCTTGCCTGCCATATTTGCTGCAGTCAACAGGTGCATCACAGGGACTCTGAGGTCTGTCAGCCCACAAGATGGCTATTAGAGCCTCTGCCCTTTTCTTGCATCTCCCCTCTTTCTTCTAAATTTCCTCCCAGTTCCCACTACAAAAGACTGAGGTGGCCATTCTCAGGAGGCCCTCCAAAGTACCATCTAGTCCCACAGCCCATTTCTGCAGCCACTTCCTGACATCAGAGGCTACTTGTGTGATAAAGTCATCCCCTAGGACTAGCTATACTTTACTGAATCAGCGGATAGAGAGTTGTGTTTTACCAAGGTCTCTCACAGACTTTTCAGGAAGGCAGTGGTATTATCGTCTAATCCCTGGTCTACCATAGTTAGCTTGGTGTAATTCAGAGGCTTAATACTAGTCCTTCTTAAGCCCTCCAGTATACACATATGAAAGTGTTTCCTTTCCCATTCTCCTATTTTATTATTGGAGTCTAATTTAGAGTCTTTCAACGGTACTTCTATTCTTCCAATCAGATAAGTTTTATCCTCTTCCCTGGCCCTATAAGAGATACACAGCTCATTCTCAAAATTATCTGCTGCTTACAGGACAGCCTGCTTTTCAGTGGTAGTCAGGGTTTGATTCAAAGACATTCTTCCAAGGGAGTTCAAATATTTGGGGTAAGTTCTGGAAAGCCTCTGTATACCTGTCAGGGCCATCTGAAAACTTGCCAAAATTTTCCTTAAGTCCCGTAGAGAAAAGAGGACCTGGCCCTTAATAAGGTTGTATTCACCAGGCATTTGTTGTAGGGACAGTTGAAACTGGGAACGGCCTAAAGCAAGGATTTCTAGGCTTAGGCAAGCTTAAGACAGAACCTGGATAGGGAGGAGCAAAGGGGGTTGATTGCCCTGCTAGAGGTACCTCTGGTGTTTGCTTCCCTAATTCCTTGGAATTGCCCTTGCAGTCTCTCCTGAGATGGCTGCGAGGAGGGTTGAATCAATCCTACAACACTGGCAAAGGTCTAGTTCTGGATAACCCTGCAAGGCAAAGGCCCATACATATGGAACCTTGGACCATTTGCCCTTGCATTTACAGAAAATGTCCAGCTGTAGGATGGTATTGAAATTAATGCTTCCTTCTTGAAGCCATACTTCTTTTTTTTTGCCTCAAGATGCTTGGCGCTATGTTGGAAACCTAGGAAATGACAAGAACATTTCCACCACAAATTTATGTACAGATACCAAGGCACACTTTGCTTCATCTGTGCTACTCTTAATCTTCCATTTTATACTTTTGATGACTAAGCCAAATGCTTATTATACCCAGTAATATTATCTCTGTTGTTTGCAAAATTCTTAACATTGTATATAAAGAAGAGATAGAAGCCATGACAGCCATGAAAGGAAGGAAGGAAGGATGGAAGGAAGGAAGGGACAGACTGGAGGTCTTAGTGCCAACACCTTAACGGGTGGTCAGGGACAGGAGTTAGTCCGTGGGCTTTCGATAACACTGAGGTGTAGCGTTGGCCAAATAACCTCAGTTACCCCAGGACCTTCTTTCTGGTCACATGTGACAGTTAGACCTCCATGAAGGGAAACTGATTGGAACAAAGCCAATGCTCCCAACACCCGAGGGTGATAGGGAATTGACAGTGTCCGCCCCAGCAAGTCTGTCTTATGTATCTTGAGTCCAGTAACCTCATCAGTTGCCATTAACTGGCTGACAGAGGCCAGGTATTTTTATTTCACGTTAGCTATTGTGGAGTTTAGGGAATCTGAATAAAGGAGAGAGCAGCAAGTCCACTTTTACTCACCCTTCCACAGATCCTGGACAAGCACAAAAAATGTTACAGAATCTTGGGGGTATTGTTTTTCTGGCCAGAAACCTGTGGCCAGTGATGCCTTTGCCTGAATTTTGCTCAGGCCTGCTGAGCTCGTTCCACCCACACAGCCTGGCAGGCTGCACCCAGCTCATGCTACCGGCCTGGATCTATGCCTCTAAATGAAGACTACAAGTCAGGCATGGAGCGGCAAGGGGTGTGTGATCGAGTGTGGGGTCTGGCTACTGCATAGTCACACATGCTGGCATCTGCCACAGGATGGGCAGCTCCAGGTGCTGGCATGGGTGCTGGCTCCCTGTGAAACTGCAAATAGACCACGCACACTGCAAGCAGCTTCCCCAGCTGGCACCAGGGAGTACAGTGGCACTCGGAAGCTTGGAGAAGCAAGGAACTGCAGGGCCCCCAAGGAGTCACAGCCCTGGCCTGGGGAGCTCCCAGGTCTTGGCTTGCCAAAGGGCCGCAGCACTTCTCTCCTTCTCTTTATCCACAACATGGCAAGCAAGGACCATGTTTCAGTCCTGTTTGTGTTACATCTCTTTTAGCCTTGCCATTTGGAAGGTCCCAAGTACTTGTCCTGTGACCAGGAAAAATAAGGTATGTAGACAAGTGAAGGGTGAGCAAAATGAAGAGGAGCTTTAATTGAGCAATAGAACAGCTCAGTCTTCCACAGGGGGCAGCTCCTTTTCACAGCCAGGGTGTTCCATTAAGTGTTCAGCTCCTAGCAGAGAGGGTAGCTCCTCTTTGTAGGTTGGTCATTACAAGTTTTCACTCCCAGCAGAGAGGGTATCCCCTTTCTGCAGCTGGTTGTCTGATCCTCTGTTCTGCTCAGGCTGAGCCCAGGACTTTTATGGAACTCAGAGGGGAGGAAGTGTGCACTGATTCGTCCATAGTCAGCCATGGGTGCACCTGAAAAAGGCACCACAATCTTCCACTCAGGTACACAGGACAGGCAGCCCAGGCCCCAGCCTTCATGTCCTCCCTGGCCTGAATGTGGGGCCTTACCAGGGACTCAACCACTTCCACCCAGGAGCCTGTCTTCCTCCTGACACTGTCCATGGTGCCCAGGCTGTTCGCGCCAAGTGGCACATGCAGGCCAGCGCTGAGCTGCCATCAACACCATTCCTCAGTTTCCCCGCCATGCTCATTGGTGCCCAAAGTCTAGAGGTGGCCAAGGCAGCAGGGGACTGACATGTCAGTGATGCCCCACACATGCACATACCTGCCTGGGCTGTAACACTGCCTGAGCTTGGCCCCAAACCTGCTCCAAGTTTGGAGTAGGCACTGAGAGCAGGGAGAAGCCAGGCAGCAGTAGCAGAAATCCCAAAGCCTGTCGGGGCAGAGGGATCTTCCCAGGACCCCAAGGGTGTAGAGTCCAGAGACAGCCGGGTCCTGTACCTTGGAGGGCAGGGCTCTAATCTGCTCCATGGGGGATGCAGGCAGCCCTGGCCATGCCTCCTCGCAGCCTGGGATGGGGGCTCTGGATCCTTGCTGGGTGCCTCTCTGTCCACCCCTCATGCCTGACCTCTCTGCTCCCCCTCCAGTGGGATGCTCAACCCAACCCCACTGTGGCAACCCCCAGGGAGATGGGCTCTCTGGTGGCTCCCACTCCTCTCTGGCTCCTGCTGGCTCTGTGGAGTGCAGCACTGCTCCCGGCAGAGCTCTGCCTCTTCCCCCTACCCTCCCCGAAGCAGCGCTGAGCGAGAATGGCAACGCAGGGCTGAATTTGGAGCAGCGGAGACTCCAGACCTGGGAGCTGGTCCCACCCAGCCACTCATGGCAGTCGGCTGCCTTGGAATCGCGGGGCAGAGGGAACCCACCGCCACCATTGCTGCTCTCGCAGCCACCACTGCCGTCACTGCCTGCATCTCCTTGCTTCAGCCAGCATGACGACAGTGGCCTTTCCGGGTGGCCCGCTACCGCCATCTTGATAGTTAGCCAGTTATCTCCGCACTATTTATTGAATAGAAAGTCCTTTCACTATTGCTTGTTATTATCAGCTTTGTCAAAGATCTGATGACTGTTAAGTGTGCAGCTGTATTTTTGGTTTCTCTGACCTGTTCCATTGGTCTGTGTCTGGTTTTGTACCAGTACCATACTGTTTTGATTACTGTAGACTTATAGTGTAGCATGAAGTCAGGTAGTGTTAATTCTTTTGGCTTTGTTTTTATTTACTTCGGAATCCTTTGGCTATTAGGGCTCTTTTTAGTTTTGCATAAATTTTAGAATAGTTTTATTTTTCTATTTCTGTGAAGAATATCATTGGTAGTTCGATAAGAATAACGTTGAATTTGTAAATTGCTGAGGGTAGTATGGCCATTGTAATGATATACATTTTTCTTATCCACAAGCTTGGAATATTTTTCCATTTGTTTGTGTTATCTCTGATTTCTTTCAGCAGTGTTTTGTAATTCTCATTGTAGTTATCTTTCACCTCCCAGGTTAGCTGTTTTCCTAGGTATTTTATTCATTTTTTGTCTATTGCAAATGGCATTGCATTCTTGATTGGTCTTTCAGTTTGGAAGTTTTTGGTGTATACAAATGCTACTGATAGATTAATCTAATTTCATAGATTAATTGTGCATCATGAAGCTTTACAGAAGTTTGTTTTGTTTTTGTTTTTTGTGGCTCACTGCAATCTTCTCCTCCCGGGTTCAAGCGCTTCTTGTGTCTCAGCCTCCCAAGTAGCGGAAACTACAGACACCTGCCACCATGCCCGACTAATTCATGTATTTTTAGTAGAGAGAGGGTTTCAGCATGTTGGCCAGGTTGGTCTCAAACTCCTGACATCAAGTGATCTACCCACCTTTTCTTCCCAAAGTGCTGAGATTGGAGGCATGAGCCACTGTTTCTGGCCTGAAGTTTGTTTTGTTTTTATTCAATTCTATGAGCCTTTGGGCAAAGACGATCAGGTTTTTTAGGTATCTAACCATCTCATGCATGAAAAGAGATAGTTTTGCTTCCTGTCTTCCCACTCGGGTGCTTTTTGTTTATTTCTTCTTACTGATTGCTCTGGTAGGAATTTTAGTGCAATATTTAATAGGAGTGGTTACAGTGGACGTCTTCGTCTTTTTTTTTTTTTTTTTTTTTGGTTCTCAAGAGGCAATACTTCAGGCTTTTGCCAATTCAGTGTAATGTTGGCTTTGGGTTTGTCATAGATGGCTCTTTTCATTTTAAGGTACGTTCCTTAAATGCCTAGATTCTTGATGACTTTTAACATGAAAAGATGTTTAGTCTTATCAAAAGCATTTTTGCATCTATTCAGATTATCACGTGTTGTTTTTAGTTATCTTAATGTGATGAATCCCATTTATTAATTTGCATATTTTAAACCAACCTTGCATCTCAGACATAAAGCCTACTTTATCATGGTGGATTAGCTTTTTGGTATGATGCTGGATGCAGTTTGCCAATATTTTGTAAAGAATTTTTGCGTCTATACTTATTAGAGATATTGACCTGAAATTTTCTTTTGTGTGTGTGTTTTTGCCAGGTTTTTATATCAGAATGATGCTAGACTTATGGAATAAGTTAGGAATGAGTCCCTCCTTCTCAGTTTTTGGAATAGAATAAGTAGAAATAGTACCTTTTTATATACATCTGGTAGTATTTGACTGTGAATCCATCTGGATCTGGGCTTTTTCTGGTTGTTAGGCTTTTTCTTACTAATTCAATTTAAGAGCTCAATGTTGGTCTCTTCAGAAATTCAATTTCTTCCTGGTTCAATTTTGGGAGGTAGCAATTTTCCTGGAATTTATCCATTTCATGTAGGTTTTCTAGTTTTTATGCATAGAGGTATTCATAACAGTATCTGAGGATTTCTGTATTTGGGGTACGGATAGTGATAATGTCCTCTTTGTGATTTCTGATGGTGTTCTTTTGGATCTTCTCTCTTTTTTTTTTTGTCTAGCTGGTGACTTTTCAATTTCATTTATTCCTTCAAAGGACATACTTTTGTTTCATTTGATCTTTTTTTTTTAAATTTTCACATCTCAATTTTATTCAGGTCAGCTGGTTGAAATTTCAAATCAGAGGTGAAATGAATGAAATTTGAATGTGAAACATCAAACCATCCACAAAACTAGCAAGATAAATGAAATTTCACAATAAATAAAATTTCAGAGAAATAATATTTCTTGAAGAAGAAATTTCAGAAGAAAATTTCAGAAGAAATTTTATTTCTCCTGCTAGCTTTGTGGATAGTTTCCTTTGTTTTTTTTTTTTTTGTTTGTTCCTCTAGGTCTGATGTTAAGCTGTTAATTGGAGATATTTCTGCCTTTTTTGTGGGTGTTTTGTATTATTAACTTTCCTCTTAAGACTGCACTAGGTGTATCCCAAAGATGCTGGTATGTGGTATCTTTGTTTTCATTAATGACAAATAATTTCTTGATTTCTGCCTTAATTTCATTTTTTACTCCCAAATCATTTAGAAGTAGGTTTTTCATTTTTTATGTTATTGTATAATTTTAAGAGATCTTCTTTGTATTAATTTAGATTTGTATTGCGCTGTGTGGTCCAAGAGTGTTGTTTGCATGGTTTTTAAAAATTTTTTGAGAATTGCTTTATTGCTGACCATGTGGTCAATCTTAGATTATATGCCAATGTGGAGATGAGAAGAATGCATATTCTGTTGTTGGGTGCAAAGTCCTATAGATGTATGCTAGGTCAATTTGGTCAAATGTTGAGTTCAGGTCTCAGATACCTTCATTAGTTTTCTGCCTTGTCGATTTGTCTAACACTGTCAGTGAGGTGTTGAAATCTTCCACTATCATTGGGTTGGTATCTATGTCTCCTTATATGTCTCTAGAAACTAGTTTTATTGAATCTGGGTGCTCTAAGGTTGGGTTCATATATATTAACGATAGCTAAGTCATCTCATTAAATTGAACCTTTTGTTATTATGTAATGCCCTTCTTTGTTGTTCTTGATTGCTGTTGGTTTAAAGTGTGCTTTCTCTTAAATTAAAATAGCTATCCCTGCTCCCTTTTGTTTTCTGTTTGCTTGAGATATCTTTCTCCATCATACTACCTTTAAATAAACTATGGGTATCATTGCAAGGTGGATGGATTTCTTCAATATAGCATACAGTTGGGTCTTACTTATTTTTTCAGCTTGTGACTCTTTTTTTTATTATTGGAACATTTAGCTTATTTATGTTTAAGGTTAATATTGATACCTGAAAATTTCATCTTGTCATTGTGTCGTTTGCTGGTTGTTATGCAGACTTGATTGCATAGTTGTTGTATATGGTGTCAGCGGGCTATATCCTTAAGTATGTTTTATTGTTGCCAATACTTACCATTCATTTCCACATTTAGCTCTCTCTTAAGGATCTTTTGTAAGGCCCATCTGGTGGTAACAACTTTTTAATGTTTACTTGCCTAAAAAATAATTTATTTCTCCTTCCTTTATGAATCTTAGTTTACCTGAACATGAAATTCTTCACTGAAATTTTTTTAAGAATGCTAAACATAGGCCCCCTTTGTCTTCTGCTTTGTTGGTTTTCTGCTAAAAGGTCTATTCTTAGCCTTATGGGGTTTCCTTTGTAGGTGTCATGTCCATTCTCCTTAGCTGCCTTTAACTTTTGTTTCATGTTGACCTTGGAGAATATGATTACGTTACCTGAGGATGGTCTTCCAGTACAGTATCTCACCTAGTTTCTCTGAATTTTTGGTATTTGCATGTTCACCTCTCTAGTGTGGTTGGAAAAATTTTTGTGGACAATTACTCTAATATGTTTTCCAAATGGCTTGCTCTCTCTCCCTCTTTTTCTGGTATGCCAATGTGTTATAGGTCTAGTCTCCTTATGTAATCCCATAATTCTGAGAGGTTTTGTTCATTTTTAATTTTTTAAAATTATTTTTGTCTGGCTGACTTGATACACGGATCAGTCTTTGAGCTTTAAGTTTCTTTTCTCAGCTTGATTTATTCTGCTGTTAATAACTTGTGCTTGTATTATGAAATTTTTGTAGTAATTTTTTTTAGCTCTAGAAGATCAGTTTGGTTGTTTCTTAAAATTTTTTTTTTTATTTTGCAACTCTTGTATCACTTTATGACATTCCTTATATTTCTTAAATTAGGTTTTAATTTTCTCCTAAGTATCTTTGATCTTCATTATTATCCAGATTCTGAATTCTATGTCTGTCATTCCAGCCATTTTAGTCTAGTTAAGAAACATTTCTAGGGAGCTAGTCCAGTCATTTGAAGGTAAAACACCCTGGGTTTTAGAGTTGCCAGACTTCTTGCACTGGTCTCATCTGCTTGGGTGGGTGTTCCTTTCATCTTTGAAGTTGCTGTCCTTCAGTTGGGGATTTTTGATTGTATATTCTTTGAGGCCCTTGAGGTCTTGATTGTAATTTAAGTTGGGTTTAGTTGATTGTCTATTTCTGGATGATTTCAGGCAGCCAAGCCTCAGTTGAGGACTCCTGGAGTTTGTCCTCCAACTCGGGGGTGGGGATGGTCTGGCACAAAACCCTTGGCTTTTTACTCTGGCCTTCAAGGTTAAGAATCAAATGGTGCTGGAAGTCCTAGCCAGAGCAATCAGACAAGAGAAAGAAATAAAGTGAATCCAAATCAGTAAAGAGGAAGTCTAACTGTCACTGTTTGCTGATGATGTGATCATATAACTAAAAAACCCTAAAGACTGATCCAAAAAGCTCCTAGAACTAATAAATGAATTCAGCAAAGTTTCAGGATACAAAATTAATGTACATAAACCAGTTACTCTGTTACATACCAAGAGCAACCAAACTGAGAATCAAATCCAGAACTCGATCCCCTTTACAATAGCTGCACAAAAATAAATAAATAAATAAATAAAATCCTTAAGAATACACCTAACCAAGGAGGTGAATGACCTCTAAAGGAAAACTACAAAACACTGCTGAAATAAATCATAGATGACACAAACAAATGGAAACACATCCCATGCTCATGGATGGGTAGAATCAATGTTGTGAAAATGACCATGTGGCCAAAAGCAATCTAAAAATTCAATGAAATTTCCACTAAAATACCACCATCATTCTTCACAGAACTAGAAAAGGCACTTCTAAAATTCATATGAAATAAACAAACAAAGAGCCCACATAGCCAATGCAAGACTAAGCATAAAGAACAAATTTGGAGGTATCACATTACCTGAAGTCAAACTATACTAAAAGGCCATAGTCACCAAAACAGCATGGTAGTGGTATAAAAATAGGCACATTGACCAATGTAACAGAATAGAGAACCCAGAAATATACCCAAACACTTAAAGCAACCTGATCCTCGACAAAGCAAACAGAAAAACAAAGTGGGGAAAGGACACTCTATTCAACACATGGTACTTGGATAATTCACAAGCCACATGTAGAAGAATGAAACTGGATCCTTATCTTTCAACTTACACAAAAATCAACTCAAGACGGATCAAGAACTTAAATATATGACCTAAAACCATAAAAATTCGAGAAGATAATATCCAAAAAACTCTTCTAGACATTGGCTTAGGCAAAGGCTTCATGACCTAGAACCCAAAAGCAAATGTAACAAAACAATGATAAATAGGTGATTTAATTATACTAAAAAGTTTCTGCACAGCAAAAGAAACAATCAGCAGGGTAAACAGAAAACCCACAGAGTGGAACAAAATCTTCACAATCTATACATCTGACAAAGGACTAATATCCAAAATCTACAAGGAACTTGAACAAATTAGCAAGATAAAAAACAGACAATCCCATCAAAAAATGGGCTAAGTACATGAATCAACAATTCTCAAAAGAAGATACACCAACAAACAAAATGTTCAACATTACTAATGATCAGGGAACTACAAATCAAAACCTCAATGCAATGCCACCTTATTCCTGCAAGAAGGGCCATAATCAAAAATCAAAAAATAATAGATGTTGACAGGGATGCAGTGAAAAGGGAACACTTTTACACTGCTGGTGGGAATGTAAACTAGCACAACCACTATGGAAAGGAGTGTGAAGTTTCCTTAAAGAATTAAAAGTAGAACTACAATTTGATACAGCAATACCACCACTGCCTATCTACCCAGAGGAAAAGAAGTAATTATACAAAAAAGATACTTGCACACACATGTTTATAGCAGCACAATTCGCAATTGCCAAAATATGGAACTAGCCCAAATGCCCATCAGTCAATGAGAGGATGCAGAAATTGTGATATATGTATAGGAATGATGGAATACTATTCAGCCATACAAGAAAGGAAATAATGGCATTCACAGCAAACTGGATAGAGTTGGAGACCATTATTCTAAGTGAAGTAACTCAGGAATGGAAAACCAAACATTGTATGTTCTCATTCTTAAGTAGGAGCTATGTTATGAGGATGCAAAGGCATAACAATGATGCAATGGACTTTGGGTACTCAGGGGAAATTGTGGGAGCATAGTGAGAGATAACAGACTACAAATTGGATACAGTGTATACTGCTCAGGTGATGGGTGCACCAAATGTTAGAAATCACCACTAAAGAGCTTATGTAAACAAACACCACTTGTTCCCCCAACACCTATGGAAATAAAAATAAAATAAATAAAATAAAATAAAATAAAATAAATGTTTAAAATAATCTATTATGCTGGAGGGGTAGATGTGTTACCAGTCCATGGGCAAGAACACTCTAATGAGGAATACTGGCAAAAATGCTTTAGCGGGTGTGTGGTCGGTGGCAGAGGTTTACATGTGTGGATGCACCAGTGGTGGTAGGTGGCCATGGGTCCATGCTCATACTGATGAAGCAGTAGTTTACAGTTGTGGGTGACTACATGCCAATGGAGGAGGGCTGAATGCAGCTGCTCATCAGCAGGGGCTCAAATGCAGAAACTTTCTCTTAGGCAGGGTATTTCAGCAAAAGAGCTATGGTAGTGGCCACTAGAAAGCACCTTGGCTTGGTAGCAGAGGCTACACAAGTTTGGTCCTGTGGGGACCCTGGTATAGACCAGCTGAACAGGGTGTGTGCTCAGGTCAGACTGGCCCCCTCCCACAGGCAAGATAGCTCTTCTCTGTCTATGTCTTGCATCCAACAAATGCTAAAGCCACCTAGAGAAGCATGGTGAGTCTTCGGGGATGGGCACCCAGGCCATGCTCCACAGCAGGCATTTTCATGCCAAACACTCTGGGATCCTTGCACACTAGAGTTCTGCCCCTGCCCACTCTCCAGACAGTTCCCCCCACCAGGTGTAGTGTCCATGGAGATTAAAGGGTTTCTTGCAGCTAAGATTCTGGAGGACCAAGGTGATAGTGGGCAATCCTTCTGACCTATTTTACTCACTCTTTTCCCCAGCATCTTCTCAGGGCCAGAAACAGAACCTGGTGTATGGCAAACATGTGCATGCTTCCCAGGTTTCTCTCCTTCCAGCCTGGGGTTTGCAAACTCCCTCCCTCTACTCTCAATGACTTTTTTTGAAGAATTTTTTCAGAGTATGCCAGTCGACTTCATGGTCTGTTCTCTCTCGGTGGAATAATCTCTTCCTGGCTGCATCTAGTTTCTTATCATGGCTTTTTTTTTTTTTTTAATTATTTTAAGTTCTGGGATGCATGTGCAAGAGGTGCAGGTTTGTTACATAGGTAAATGTGTGCAATAGTGGTTTGCAGCACCTATCAACCCATCACCTAGGTATTAAGCCCCACATGCATTAGCCATTTATCCTGATGCTCTCACTCCCCCTGCCCCCCTGACAGGCCCTAGTGTGTGTTGTTCCCCTCCCTGTGTCCATGTGTTCTCATTGTTCAGCTCCCAGTTATAAGTAAGAACATGTAGTGTTTGGTTTTTTGCTCCTGTTTTAGTTTGCTGAGGATAGTGGCTTCCAGCTCCATCCATGTCCCTGCAAAAGACATGATCTCATTCTTTTTATGGCTGCATAGTATTCCATGGTGTATATGTACCACATTTCCTTTATCCAGTTTATCATTGACGGGCATTCGGGTTGATTCCATGTCTTTGCTATTGTGAAAAGTGCTGCAATCAACATACACATGCAAGTATCTTTATAATAGAATAATTTATAGTCCTTTGGGTATAAAACCAGTAGTGGAATTGCTGGGTCAAATGGTATTTCTGGCTCTGGGTCCTTGAAGAATCGCCACACCGTCTTCCACAATGGTTGAACTAATTTACTTTCCTACCAACAATTTAAAAGCATTCCTATTTCTGCACAGCCTAGCCAGCATATGTTGTTTTTTGGCTTTTTAATAATCACCATTCTTACTGGCATGAGATTGTATCTCATTGTGGTTTTGATTTGCATTTCTCTAATAATCAGTGATGTTGAGCTTTTTTCCATATGTTTGTTGGCTGGATAAATATCTTCTTTTGAGAAGTGTTTGTTTATGTCCTTTGCCCAGTTTTTTAATGAGGCTGTTTGTCTTTCTCTTGTAAATTTAAGTTCCTTGTAGATTCTGAGTATTAGACCTTTGGCAGATGGATAGATTGCAAACATTTTCTCCCATTGTGTGAGTTATCTTTCACTCTGATGATAGCTTCTTTTGCGATGAAGAAGCTCTTTAATTATATCTTATTTGTCAATTTTTACTTTCATTGCAATTGCTTTTGATGTTTGTGTCATGAAATCTTTGCCCGTGCCTATGTACTGAATGGTATTGCCTAGATTTTCTTCCAGGGTTTTCTAGTTTTGGGTTCTACATTTAAGTCTTTAATCCATCTTGGGTTAATTTTTGTATAAGGTGTAGGGAAGGGGTCCAGTTTCAATTTTCTGCATGTGGCTAGCCAGTTTACCCTGTACCATTTATTAAATAGGGAATACATTCCCCATTTCTTGTTTTTGTCAGGTTCATTGAAGATCAGATGGGTTGTAGACACACAGGTCAATGGAACAGAATAAAGCTCTCAGAAATAAGAGAACCATCTATCATGGCTCTTAATTCTGTAGTTTTTCTTTTTTTTTTCTGTTGTCTCTGTCTGGTTTGTTAACAGGGTAATGCTGGCTTCATGTAATGAGCTTGGAAGTATTTCCTTTGCTTCAGTATATTTACATAGTTTGAGTAGAATTAGTACTCTTTTTAAAATGTTTGGTATATTTAAGATATCAAATCCTATACTTTTCTTTGATAGACTTTTAATTACTGTTTCTATCATGTTACATATTATTGTTTTGTTTAGGTTTTCTATTTCTTCATGTTTCTTTCTTGGTGTCATTTATGTGTTACATAATCCATTTTTCTAGGTTTTCATTTTATTTTCAAATATTTGTTTGTAATAGTCTCTAATAATCCTTTGTATTTCAATGGTATAAGTTTTAATGTCTTCTTCTTTTTGTGTAATTTTAATTTATTTAGGTATTCTCACATTTTTTCTTACTTTGTCTAGCTAAACTTTTTTGATTTTATCTTTTCACAAAATCAAGCTTTTGTTTCTTTGCTCTTTTGCATCATTTTAGTCTCAGTTTCGCATATTTTTATGCTGATTTTTATTACTTTTTTCTTCTACTAATTATGAGTTTAGTTTGTTCATGTTTTCTAGTTTTTTGAGCACATCATTTAGTTGTTTATTTGAGCCTTCCGACTTTTTTGATGCAAGTGTTTTTTCTCATACACTTCTCCCTTAATGTTGCATTTGCTGTCTCCCATAGGTTTGGGCATGTTGTGTTTACATTTCCTTTTGTCTAAAACATATTTTAATTTTTTTAAATAATTATTTGTTCACCTATTAGTTGTTCTTGCCATTTAGTTTTCGTGAATATGTACAATTTCCAACATTTCTTCTGTTATCAATTTCTAATTCTATTCCATTATGTTCAGAAAAGATACTTGACATCATTTTGATAGTTTTAAAATCTCTTAAAACTTGTATTATGACCAAACATATGGTCTACCCTAGAGAATATTCCAAGGACTGTTGAGCAAAATTTGTATTTTGTGGCTGTTAGATGTATTGTCCTGTAAATGTCTGCTTGGCCCATTTGCTCTAGAGTGCAATTTACATCCAATTATTCAATTATTCCATGTTAATTTTTGATTGAATGATCTGTCTATTGCCAAAGTTGAGGTGTTGAAGTTTCCTGCTATTATTGTAATAAAGTTAATATCTTCTTTTAGGTCTATTAATATTTTCTATATATTTGTGTGCTTTGTGTTGGGTGCATATATTTATAATTTATATTCTCTTGCAGCATTTAGCACTTCATCATTATATAATAGACTTGTCTTTTCTTAACCACTTCTTACTTAAACTTTATTCCATCTACTCTAATTACAGGTACTCCTGCTCTTTGTAAATGCCTCTTTGTATGGATTTTTTTTGCAGTGCTTCTCTTTTGATTTGTACATGTCTATATAGTTAAAATTAGTTTCGTGTAGACAACACATAGCTGAGTCTTGTAATTTTTATTCTTTCAACCACCCAATGTTTTAAAAATGATGAATTCAATACAATCACATTGAAGATTATTACTGATAGATAAGGATTTACTATTGACATTTTATTACTTATTTTCTGGTTGTTGTGCAAATTCTATTTTTTTTTATTTTCTTTTATTATCTTCATTTGTGGTTCAGTGATTTTTCTCAGGCAGTACATTTTGATTTTATGCTATTTACTTTTAGTGTATACGTTACACGTTTTTGCATAATGGTTACCATGAAGTTTAAAACACTTATTATACCTATGTTATTTTAAAATAATAAAGACTTGTTTGACTGCCAAGTATAGAAAAGTAACAACAATGAACTCTACACCTAATATATCATCACCCTTTCACATTTTTACTTATTAATGTTTCTATTTACATCTGTTTATATGACCAATCTCTTAAACAATTAGTTATGATTGATTTTAATTTGTTTTTTATTTAGATGGAGTCTCACTCTGTTGCACAGGCTGGAGTGCAGTGGCGTGAGCTTGGCAACCTGCACCTCCTGGGTTCAAGCGATTCTCCTGCCTCAGCCTCCAGAGTGGCTAGGATTACAGGCATGTGCCACAATGCCCAGTGAATTTTTGTAGAGCTGTGGTTTCGCCATGTTGTCAAGGCCGGTCTTGAACTCCTGACATCAAGCAATCCACCTCCCTTGGCCTCCCAAAGTTCTGGGATTACAGGCATGAGCCACTACGCTCAGCTTTTAATTTTTTCTCTTAGTCTTCATATGTGGGATGTATGTGGCTTACTTACTCCAATTACAATATTACAGTATTCTGAATTTTCTTTTTAATTTATGATTAAGTATAATACCATTAGATTTTTCCCTGTCACATATGATCATCTATTTCTTTTAGATTGAAAAAGTCCCTTAGCATTTCTTACAGGAGAGAGAGGTCTAGTGTTGATGAATTCCCACCAGTTTTGCTTCTTTGTAAGTATTTTTCTTTTTTAGTTTTAAAGGACAACTTTGCTGAGACAAGTATTCTTCATTAAGAATTTCTTTTTCGTCCTTCAGCAAATTGGATATAGCATCCCACTCTCTCCTGGCCTGAAAGATTTCGGCTTAGAAATCTACAGGAAGTGACAAAAGGGAATTTTGTAAAGTTCATAAAAAATTTGACTTCACAGATAAAAATTAAAAATAAAAACTGTATTTCTTAACATAAACTTCATCAACTACAAGACATTTGTGTAAATAATCACACAAGCCACTTAGTTTTTCCTTATATAATTGAGGGTCCTGGGAATTTAACCAAGTCAATGAAGTATTTATCACGTTATTTCCTGAAGAAAAAAGAGAGCCCTTTAAAGACTTTTCAAGACTGGGAAAGAAAAAGATGGTAGAAGGAGCCAAATCAGAACTGTAAGGTGTATGCTTAATGATTTCCCTTTGAAACTTACACAAAATTACCCTTGCTTAATAAGAAAAATGACCAGGATCATTGTCACAGTAGAGGATGACTCCCTGGTTAAAGCTTTCATAGAAAATTCTTCTGCTAAAGCTTTCGCTAATTTTCTCAAAACATTCCTATAATAAGCAGATGTTATCATTGTTTGGCCCTTTAGAAAGTCAGCAGGCAAACTGCCTTGAGGATTACCAAAAAAGTGTGACCATAATGTTTGTTCTTGACTGGTCTGCTTTTGCTTCAACCAGACCATGTCCTCTTCTCAGTAGTCTTTATGTTGATTGTATTTTGTCTTCAGTATAGTACTGGTAAAGAAGTGTTTCAGTTTTATCGCTTGCTATAACTCTTTCAAGAAGTGCTTTAGGATCTTAACCTCACTTGTTTAAAATTTCCATTAAAAGCTCTGCTTTTTTGTCTGCAACTGATTTGGGTGCAATGGTTTTGGCAATTGTCAAATAAAAAGTTTCCTCAACTTTTATTTTTTAGTCAGAATTGTGTAAGTTTAATGAACTAAGATGTCTATGGTATTGATTACTGTTTTTGCTGTTAATTGCTCATCCTCTTCAATTACAGTAGAAGCAAGATTAAGTTATTCCTTACAAATTGATGTGAATGGTCTGCTACAGCAGACTTTAACTTTGGTCTCTTCTTAAAATAATTTATTTATTTGTAAACTGCTACTTATTTGGGCCATTTTATCCATACATTTTTCATAAAGCATCGATGAGATCACCCTTCTTTCACCCAAGCATCACTATAAATTTGATGTTTGTTCTTGCTTCAATTTTGGAAAAATTCATGTTGCTCTTTTCAAACTGATACATTTTCCTTTTTACTCCTTCAAATCAGATCCCATTCAGAAATGTTATAATAAGTAAGTACAAGTTTACTTTGGTGCAAAAATAAAATTTCATAAATACTTTTTCTACAATATGCATTTTTATCAACTTTTTGATGACCCTTTATATTCCATTTTGTGTGTGTCAAAATTTTATTATCAATTTATTTGTTAATTGACTCCTATGTTACTTCTATATCTTGATTTATTTTTGAAACATGCTTAAAAACATAACTTATAATAAAGGAAAAAAGAAATAAAAGGCTAGAATGAACATGAGAATGGAGACATATGCTTAAGATACCAATTTTTTTCTTTTGACTATATACTCAGAAGTCAATACTTTACTTTCAATAACAGACATAATCTCCAGTCAGAAGAGCATATATGGATATGAAAAGTACTATAAACAAATTAAATGTAACAGACATAGAACATTCCCCAACAACAGCAGAATACACAATTTCCTCAACTGCACATGGAGCATTCTGCAGGATAGATCATATGCAGGCCACAGAAGAAGTCTTCATCTATTTGAAAATATTAAAATAAATTTTATTACAATAGAATGAAACTAGAAGTTAATGAAAGGGAAAAACTATAAAATTCATACATATGCGGAAATTAAATTACACACTATTAAACAACAATTGGGTCATTGAAGAAATCACAAAGGAGATTTTTAAATACCAAATGAAAACAAAAAGCAATCTACCAAAACTTATGAGACAGAAGTAAAGCAGTGTTAAGAGAGATATTTATAGCTGTAAACAGATACAGTGTAAAAGAAGAAAGACCTCAAGTCAATAACCTAAATGTACACTGTGAAGGAACTAAGAAAAGAAGAGCAAGCTAAATAGAAAGACAGATCAGGGAAAATATAATAAAGATTAGAATGGAGATAAATAAAATTGACAAAGAATAAATGGAGAGAAAATGCAATAAAAAGTTTGTTCTGTGAAATGATAAATAAAACTGACAAATTTTTAGTGAGACTGACCAAGAAAAAAAAAAGAAGATCCAAATTATTAAAATTAAAATGAAAGAATATTACTAATGGCTTTACAGGAATAAAAAAGATTGTAAGTTCTCACCACAAAATATTGTGACTATGTAAATTATGCCCATGTTAATTAGCTTGATTGTGGGATTCATTACACAGGTATATTTATATAAAAAAGCTCCATTGTACACCTTAAATATATCCAAATTTTAAATTGTCAATTATACTTCAATAAAAGCAGAAATTAAAAAATGCAGGGCATTAAAATCTCCAACTATTACTGTAGAACCATTTCTTCAATTTTGTCAGTGGTTGCTCCATAGAGTTTAGATCTCCGTTGTTAAGTTCATATATGTTTTCAATTCTTATATCTTCTTTGTGAATTAATCTTCTTCCCAATATTTAATGCTCTTCTTTTTCTTTTGGAATAATTTCCTCTTAACGTTTATTTTGTCTGATATTGGCGTTTATACCTCAGCTTTTCTTTTTCAGTTTCTATTTGAATGAAATATCTTTTTCTGTACTTTCAACATATTTTGCCTTTGGATCTAAAAGGGATCACATATATTTAATTATGTAATAGATCATTAAAAACATTTTTTCTACCAATCTCCACATTTCATTAGCCACCTTTATTTACTCACAGTTAATGTAGTTTCAGATAAGAAAAGTCCCACTTCTACCATTTTGCAACTTATTTTCTATATGTCTACTAGCGTGTTTGTACCTCAGTTTCTTCATTACTGCCTTCTGTGTTTAGTTGATTTCTTATAGTGACGTATTTTATTTCCTTCTCACTTTCCTTTGTGTATATTCTATAGAATTTTTTGTGGTCACCATTGGGATTATAGCTAAATTCCATATGTGATAACAATCTAACTTGAATTGTTAACAACTTTACTTCAATAACATACAAAAACGCAACTCCTATAAAGCTCTGCTCCCATTTATGTTATTGACATCACAAATTGCATCTTCACACACTATGTGCCTGATTATATAGCTTGTTAATCTTCTTATGTATTTGTTGTTAAAATCATGTAAAAAATAAAAGTGTGGTTACAAACTAAAATTACAATATTGACTTTTAGTTTTGCTCATGTCTTTTTACTG
Organism: Homo sapiens; assembly: GCF_000001405.40. Taxonomy (NCBI): domain Eukaryota; kingdom Metazoa; phylum Chordata; class Mammalia; order Primates; family Hominidae; genus Homo; species Homo sapiens. The sequence goes on from NC_000023.11 coordinate 83,201,766, forward strand.
GTGATCTTTATTGAAATGGATTCAAATTACCATATTGCATTTTGTTTTAAACTTGAATGATCCTATTTTCCATTTTTTGTAGGGCAAGTCTACTGGTTATAAATATCCGCAAGTTTTGTTTCTGGGGGAGTGTCAGTTTTTCTTTCATTTTGGAAGATGAATTTGCAAGACGTGGAATTTGTTTGTTTGTTTGTTTTGAGATGGATTCTTGGTCTGTTGCCAGGCTGGAATGCAATGGCACGATCTCGGCTCACTGCAACCTCCACCTCCCTGGTTCAAGCAGTTCTCCTGCCTCAGCCTCCTGAGTAGCTGGGATTACAGGAGCCCACCACCACATCTGGCTAATTTTTGTGTTTTTTGTAGAGACAGGGTTTCACCATGTTGGCCAGGCTGGTCTTGAACTCCTGACCTCAGGCGACCCACCTGCCTTGGCCTCCCAAGGTGCTGGGGTTACAGGCGTGAGCCACCTTACCCAGCTGCAAGATGCAGAATTTTTGGTTAATTATTTGTTGTTGTTTTATTATTTTAGTGGTTTAAACATATTATCCAAATGCTTTGGGGCCTTCAACATTTTGAATGTGGGATTGGCTGATAATCATGTTTAGGATCCATATATGTGATGAGTCACTTTTTTTTTTTCTGCTCACAGTATTTTTGCCCTTTGTGTTCAACAGTTTGACTACGATATATCTCAGTCTTGGTGTCTTTGGGATTATACTGGTTGAATTTCATTGAGCTTCTTGAATTCATACATTTATGTATTTCGTTAAATTTCCAAAATTTGGGTCAATGATTCCTGTTTATTTATTTATTTATTTATTTATTTATTTTATTTTTTTGAGGCAAGGTCTGGCTCTGTTGCCCAGGCTGCAGCACAATGGCATGATCACAGCTCACTGCAATCTCTGCCTCATGGGTGCAACCCATCCTCCCATCTCAGTCTCCAGTGTAGCTGAGACTGCATGCATGCAACACCACGCTTGGCTAGTTTTGTATATATACATATTTGGTAGAGATGGAGCTTTGGCCTGTTTCCTAGGTTGGTCTCAAACTCCTGGGCTCAAGCGATCTGCCCAAACTTGGCCTCCCTCCTAAATTGTTGGGATTATAGGCATGAGCCACTGCACCTGTCTGGGGCCATTATTTCTTTTAAAAAATCTCTTTGCATTGTTGTCTCTCTCTTCTTCTTCTGGATTGTCATATTACAAATATTGGTCCACGTGATGGTGTCCACCTGTTCCTTAGGCTGTGTTCATTTTTCCTTCTGCTCCTTTGAATATGCTATTTGCACTTTTTTATTTAGGTATAATAATTTCTTCTTTTTTCTGCTCAAAATGGCTGTTGAGCTACTTGTATAACTTCTTTTAAATTTTAGTTATTATACTTTTCATTTCCAGAAATTTTGTCAGATTTTTTATGGTTTTTATTTCATCATTGATAAGCTCATTTTATTCTCATATAATTTTTATGATATTTTTAGTTCTTTATGTTATCATTTAACATTTTAGGAATATTTAAGATAGTTGTTTTCAAGGAACTTTCTATTTAGTCTGATGTCTAATCTTTATAAGAGACAATTGTTCATTGTTGTTACTTCAGCGTTCCGTGTTTTCCTGTTTCTTTGCATAAATTGATATTTTCATGTGAATGATTTGGCATTTGACTATTATAATGTTGTAAGTATAAAAACTGTTTTCCTCTCCTTCTCTAGAGATTGCTGGCTTTTTTTTTTTCAACTTGTTGAAGGCCATAGTCTATTTTGAGACTTTTTCAAACTATTTTTGCAAAGACTATTCCTTGTCATTTGCTATCACTATAGTCCCTTTTTCTTCAACTGGTGTGAAGCTAACATTTTGATAAATATTTTCTTAAGTACCAGAAACTAAAAGAAACAGTAAAAATTCCATAAAAGAGAGAATCAGAAAAACTCCCAATTTTCCTAGTTCTTGTTGATTGGCTCTGTGCTAGGGCACTTCAGCACTTAGCTAGACTTTTTCTAAGACTAGAGATCAGTTCAAGGTGAAAGTTTATGGTCTTCTTAAAACTTTTCTGAGCATGTATCTTTTTTGGGAATGTTTGTGTTTTTCTAAATACCCCTGTATACATGTCTGCTTTTGAATATCCTAATTTCCTAAAGAGTGACGCCCCAGATTCTTCTCCATGTCTTAGGTGGTCTATTGTATGTCTCCATAAACTCTTGCCCCAAGCCTCTGTGAGTCCGCAGTCTACTTGAAGCCTTCGAAAGCATTGCCCTTTGCTTTGGCCATCAGAGATGCACAATAGAAAAATTGAGAAGTCCACCTTTCTTCTGTTGTTTAAGTAGCCTACGTGCAAGTTAGAAAAAAATATACATACCAATTTGCAAATAAGGTCATCAACTCCCTTTAGTTCAAGGGAGGTAACCGGGAACTGAGCTGCTATCACTTCATAACCAAGACAGCCACCAAACTAAGGAGGAAGTTAGGCAAGGGAGAGTAAAAGTACCACAGATTCTTCTTTTTTGATGATAGCTCTCTTTTAACTGGGTATTTGTTTGGTTACTGTAAAACTTTGCTTTTCAGAGCTCTGATAAAGCAGTGAAATCAATTGCTACTTGCTGTTGTTGCTGTTTAAAAATGTTTATATAAGAGAACAAAAGCTTGGAGCTTTCTAGTATATCATTTTGCTAGCATTACTCCTAGTGGCACATGAAACAAAATATATGGTTATTACCAGCATTCAAAAATATTGACAGAAAGAAAAATATAAGATTAATATAACATTATTAAATAAAATACTTCTGTACTTGAACACAGAAAATATGTCCATGGATAGAATAAGGAAGTCTTTCCAACAGCTTGTGTAATAATGAGTCAGAACTTTTAGTTAACAATGAGATCTGTGTGAGAAAAAAATATGATGTGAAAGCCAAAAAAAATTGTATGATATTATTAGTTTCATTAACAGAAGTATGGTACTTAACATTAAGGAGGCAATATTACTAATCAGATCTCCAATGATACCCAGAGTCTTGGTTTTCTAACAGGGCATCACATTTTATTTTAATAATTAGAAAAATTAAAATGCATTGAGGAAAGTGTACTGAGAGTGGTAATACAATTAAGCTATATGAAAAATGTTTTAAATAATTTTGCATGTTTACCCTGAAAGAGAAAAATTCACTGTGAGACATGAGATCCCTCTCCAAATATGTGAAAGGTGATCTTATATAAAAGGTATTAGAAATTTTGGATTTGCACCCAAGGGATAATCTCAATTTAAAATGGTCTGAGAGGGTTAACTCGGACCAACGGTGAGTTTTAAAAAGGGACAGATTTTACCATAAGTTAAAACAGATATTTTAACACTCATAATTGTCTAATTGAGCATTTCAAACATCATTTGAGAAGTTTTCCATAGGATTGTATGATTGTATGTATTAAAAAATTAATCACACACATTGAATATAAGATCTATATAAAATGTCTTAGATGTTGAAGATAAGAGTGAAAAGCCAAATGCTGTTCCATGTTAAAGTTAGAGTGTAAAACAAGGACAGTAGCTACCAAGTAATTAATAAAATGTCATCTATCCAACAGAGATAAACTACAGTACAACCTACTGGCTTGAGGAGATTTTCTATTATTTATACCTTCAGTCTTTATTAATGAGTCACTTCGGCAACAAACACCGATCATGATAAGTTTCCATTTACTGAGTTGTTTTTATACAGGAACTGTATTAAGTGGTTTTGGATAAATTATCATGTCCTCTAATCCTCTTAACAACCCTATGAAATAGATACTAGTATTAAGCCTCATTTGACAAATGAGAAAATTATTGCTTAGCTAGGTTAACTAAGTCGTTCAGGGTCACACAGCTAGTAAATGACAGAGCAAAAATTTTAACTCATGTCTATTTATATAAAGATAAGTTAATAAACACTGTATTTTATGTCCATTTTTACCACAAGGTGCACTACTGCTTAGAAAAGATTTTCCTTACATGCTTAATAGGTTTCTGGAATACCGAGATTTCCAACAATGTTTACTTTAAACTAACAGTGAAAACATGTTATTAATTTTTCTGTCTATTTTAGTTCTATTTTATCAGACATATGAAAAGGTAATTCATATCTGTCAGTATTTTTAAAATTATTTCCCTGTTTATTGAAACTTCCATTAAATAAGTGTCTGAAATCTGTAAAAACAACTCAAGTAAAAAAATTCCTTTAATTTTTAAGAGCAACAGGTACTTCTTGAATTTGAATAAAGACACATATAGATACGTGGGTTTTACATAAGTGCCTGTTTGTAATTTTATGGTTGCACATGGTGAGTAAAGTTGTTTGCAGCCACCACTATTGCATTATTAGGAAGCCAAGTACCAGCCACTTTTATAGAATAGGACTGCAATAGGCATTTTGTCACTAATGAAATATGACTTGGGGGTACTGTGATACATGGAATCAAATATTTCACCATACTTTCTTGCCTTAGCACTCGACATTCCTACCATTAATATTGCTTTTCTAGCTGAAGCATATTAAAGATCAATTGAAAAGTACACTAGACCAGATACACAGAAATCTGAGTTCCAACCCCATCTCATCCATGAACACATTGTTTACTTTGGAAAAGACACTTTAGTTTCTAAACCTGTTTTTTCTAAATAGATGGAGAATTTGGACTAGGAAATCCGCCATGTTACTTTAAATTTCAAAATTCAGATTATGGAAAATGTAAATTTGTTATTTTATAAAGATCACCAATTAAGCTATCATCACTCACAAATATCTTAGTTTATTAGTTTAGCTCACTATATTAATTGGCCAGTCACAAAGCAATTATGTAACTATATTTAATATACAAGTAATATTTTTATTTAATGGCCTATAAATGTTTTTGTACAGATAACCTCACTAATTCCTGTCAACAACTATGGAAGAACAGACACTATTTTATTTTAAAAATAACATTATCAGGCTTATTTTCCAGGTAAGAAAATTAACTTGCTGAAGGCCATGTGGAAAATGATTTGCCATGTTTATTTCACAGTAATAATAATAACAACAAGGACTAACATCAAATTGGGAACTTTTTAAATGCTGAGCACCATGTTGAGTAGATTATAAGGAATGACTTCATTTAATCTTTATAACCACATCACAAGATAAGTATTATCATTACTCACTTTCCACAGATGAAAACTAAGGCCCAAGAATGTTAAGTTCCCTGGCCAATGTCATGACAGCTCGCAAAAGGTAGACCTGTGTTGGTAAACTCATGTCTTCTGTGTCTAAACTCCTTGTGCTTGCAATTATAATAACAATGATATTTTATATTTATTGACACATTTCTTATGTGTTAAGTTGTAAACTAAGTGTTTACTGGATTAGCCTATATAATTTTCACAATTATCTAGTAAGTTAAGAAACTATTGTTATTCTTATTTTATAAATGATCATACTAATTTTCAAAGAAATAACGTGTTCATCATTAACCACTTAGTAAGTGATGAAGATGAGGTCTGAAAAGGAGATGTCTGACTCTAGAGCCTGAGAATGTATTGCTGTGTAGTATCACATAATATATGAGCAATATTTCAACTCACTCTTGAAAATGTACATTTTTTAACAAAGCCGTCTTGTATTGACCAAGAGTTCTTCTCTCTCTGCTATATCTAGAAATGATTTATTTGTTATTACTAACCTTTTCTCTAACTCCCTGTAATAAAAATGCCCTTAATGATATTTAAAAATTCTATACTGAAATAGATTATGGTATAGCTATATGCTACATTAACATTTTCATTTATCTATTGGTATAACCTAGATAGTCTTGTCTACATTAGATTGTAAGGCCCATGACAACAGCTTTTGTAGAGTGATAGAATAAATATAGGTCAAAGATATTGTCTTTATTTCTGATTTTCATGCTTTAAAAAGGATACTGTAGAATTAATAGAAACAAAAAAGAGAGTGAAACAGATGATTTGGTACCTTGAGAGGTAAAAAGTAAGACTAAGAAAGGAGGGGATAAAGGTATATATTTATACCTTTCAGGTTCTCTACAATGTGCAAAATGTTGTTTTAGAAACTAGAGATACAGCTCTGAACAAAACATATTTTTTGTTCTCACAGAACATTTTTCTTACTATAGTGCTTATATTCCAGTAATCAGTTGAAAATATTCATAATGAAATAAAACCCTTTAATTCTAATTTTTCTGATGCCTTGCAAGTTAAAAATTTCAACTCTCAAACCCCAAGAGGAAAATATTTTTGGAAGCACAGCACATATAAAATGTGTGCCAATCCAGTTATTTTATTTATTACTATATTCCTCCATAATTCTCCATTCATTTATTATTGACCCATTTTTTTCTATAAATATGTAATTATCATCTACTGTGTGCCCATCATTGGAATAATTACTAATATATGATACTGAACAAAGAAAATGTTGACCCTTGTTTAATGGCAAAGCCAGATAATAAACAAGTAAATTAATATTTTTTTTTTTTTTTTTGAGACAGAGTTTCACTCTTGTTGCCCAGGCTGGAGTGCAATGGCACGATCTTGGCTCACCGCAACCTCTGCCTCCTGGGTTCAAGTGATTCTCCTGCCTTGCCCTCCCAAGTAGATGGGACTACAGGCATGCGCCACAATGCTTGGCTAATTTTGTATTTTTAGTAGAGGTGGGGTTTCTCCATTTTGGTCAGGCTAGTCTTGAACTCCCAACCTCAGGCGATCTGCCCACCTCGGACTCCCAAAGTGCTGGGATTACAGGCGTGAGCCACCACGCCTGGCCAATAAACACATTTTTTAAACTTTTATGTGAGATTAAGAGAGCAAAGAAGGTTCAGTGATAGTAACAGGAATTTTATATTAGATAAATAGGGATGATATATCAATCAGATTCAGTGCCATGAAAAATAATCTATACATCAAACACCCATGGCATAACATTTACCAATATAACAAACTTTCACTTGTTCCCCCGAACCTAAAATAAAAGTTAAAAAAAGAAAAATAAACTATTTTAGGTATTTAAGAAGAAATTAATTTAATACAGGAAAGAAGGCACATTGTTGAAAGGCCCTTGAGAGGAGAAATCTAGGTGCCACTGAGTTATTGAGTTACGAAAACATCATTAGAAAGCACTTCTGAAGTTGTGGAGTAAGAAATTTTGATAATTGCCTCTTCTGTAAATGAAACAGGGAGGGTGACCCAAAGAATGTAAAAATCAACTTTTTGGAAGGCTGGAATTAACCAAAAGATTAAAACAATCTGAGAAGCATTTATTCAAGAAAAACTTGAAGCTCAGTAAGAAGAACCATAAAGTTTGTAGCATTTTTACTTGCCACAATTTTATCCTTTTTTCCTCAACTCCACTGCAGCATTAAAAATTCAAGAGCCTTTCAACTATGGTAGTTATGCCTAGCAGCGGCTAGAGGAGAAAGAATGTGTTTAAAACTCCCCAAAAGTCATATTCCTCATGGACTCATCATTATTTGAGTTTGGATGCTCCCTTAAAGCTCCATTCTCAGGGTTTGTTTTATTTCACCTAAGGCAGATTTTATTCTATGCAAATAATTCTATTCCCAGAGGGTTAGTGTTAGTCTAAACAATCACTGGTAATTGTTTAAAATTGAAGCTCCCTGGAATGGAAACTCTAGTCCAAATTCACTGGAGCTGATGAGAAAATCTACAGGAAAAAAAAGAAAATGAGCTTAGATGTCTACAAGGGGTGTTGAAAAAGTTGTAACATATTTATGGGCACCTAGAAAAGCATAAAACATACAAAGAGCGTTGCACATATCTAGGAAAAATACTAGAATGTCATAAGCTTGCACTTGTGGCTGACCATGATTCTTTCCACAAACAATAAGTGTAGACTAAGATAGAGATATAAAATTTCTGTATAATTGTAGAATGTATGCCCCAGTACAAACAAAACTGGGGAGACTTATTATGTCAAGATATTTAAGAAAATATTTATCCCACCTATTTCTATTTACTAAGTAACCCAGCAGTGACTTTAGTGGACAATATGGTAAAGAATATACATTTCAGAATTAGGCCAGAGTACTTATTAAATAAGCAAAAACAACCATTGAATAACAAGAACAGAAAACAAAGGTTAGGGAAGGAGTTAACTTTCAGAGCTAAAAAACTATAATATTTAAAAAATTTGCTTCGAAAAAAATCATGTTAATAAATAGTAAAGTGTGAACACATACTCAGGAAAAAAAAGCAATGAATAGCAATTGTTTCTCCAGAAACCCACAATTACATTTATTAGAAAAAGACATTAAATTGCCTATTATTAATATCAAATATAAATTATAAATATGTTTAAAACAGGTCTAAAGCAAATAGAACAAAACAGAGAACTCAGAAATAAACTTGCACACCTGCAACCATCTGATCTTTGACAAAGTTTTAAAAAACAAGCAATGGGGAAAGGACACTGCATTCAGTAAGTGGTATTGGGATAATTAGATAGCCTTATGCAGAAGATTTAATCTGAATCCCTTCCTTTTGCCATATACAAAAATCAACTCAAGATGAATTGAAAACTTGAATGTAAGACCTGAAACTATAAATCCTAGAAGTAAACCAAGAAAATTCTATTTTGGACATTAGCCTTGGATAAGAATTTAGGACAAAGACCCAAAACTCAATTACAAGAAAAACAAAAAATGGACAAGTGGGACTTAATTAAACTGAAGAGTTTATGTACAGCAAAAGAAACTATAAACAGGGTAAACAATCTACAGATTGAGAGAAAATCTTCACAAACTATGCATTTGACAAAGGTCTAATGTCAAGGATCTACAAGGAACATAAATTAACAAGCAAATAACAAACAACCTTATTAAAAAGTGCAAATAAATCATTAACAGGCAATTATGAAAAAAGAAATAATACATATGGACAATAAATATAAATTAAAAATTCTGTATTCCTGAATTTGAATGTTGGCCTTCCTTGCTAGGTTGGGGAAGTTCTCCTGGATAATATCCTGAAGAATATTTTCTAACTTGATTCCATTCTCCCCATCACTTTCAGGTACACCAGCCAAATGTAGATTTGGTCTTTTCACATAGTTCCATAGTTCTTGGAGGCTTTGTTCATTTCTTTTCACACTTTTTTCTCTAGTCTTGTCTTCTCACTTTATTTCATTAATTTGTTCTTCAATCACTGATATCCTTTCTTCTGTTTGATCGAATCATCTACTGAAGCTTGTGTATACTTCACAAAGTTCTCGTACTGTGGTTTTCCACTCCATCAGGTCATCAGGTCATTTAAACCCTTCTCTACACTGGTTACTCTAGGTAGCCATTAATCTAACCTTTTTTCAAGGTTTTTAGCTTCCTTCCGATGGGTTAGAACATGCTCCTTTAGCTCAGGGAAGTTTGTTATAACCGACTTTCTGAATCCTACTTCTGTCAGCTCGTTAAACTCATTCTCCTTCCAGTTTTGTTCCCTTGCTAGTGAGGAGTTGTGTTCCTTTGTAGGAGAAGAGGAGTTCTGGTTTTTGAAATTTTCTGTCTTTCTGCTCTGGTTTCTCCCCATCTTTGTGGTTTTATCTAGGTATTGATGGAACATATCTCAAAATAATAAGAGCTATTTATGACAAACCCACAGCCAATATCATACTGAATAGGCAAAAACTGGAAGCATTCCCTTTGAAAACTGGCAAAAGACAAGGATGCCCTCTCTTACCACTCCTATTCAACACAGTACCGGAAGTTCTGGCTAGGGCAATCAGGCAGGAGAAAGAAATAAAGGGTATTCAATTAGAAAAAGAGGAAGTCAAATTGTTTCTGTTTGCAGATGATATGATTGTATATTTAGAAAACCCCATCATCTCAGCCCAAAATCTCCTTAAGCGGATAAGCAACTTCAGCAAAGTCTCAGGATACAAAATCAATGTGCAAAAATCACAAGCATTCCTATACACCAAGAACAGATAACAGAAAGCCAAATCATGAGTGAACTCCCATTCACAATTGCTGCAAACAGAATAGAGTACCTAGGAATCCAACTTACAAGGTATGTGAAGGACCTCTTCAAGGAGAACTACAAACCACTGCTCAACGAAATAAAAGAGAACACAAACAAATGGAAGAACACTCCATGCTCATGGATAGGAAGAATCAATATCATAAAAGTGGCCATACTGTCCAAGGTAATTAATAGATTCAATGCTATCCCCATTAACCTACCACTGACTTTCTTCACAGAATCGGATAAAACTACTTTAAATTTCAAATGAAGCCAAAGAAGAGCCCACAGAGCCAAGACAATCCTAAACCAAAAGAACAAAGTTGGAGGAATCATGCTACCTGACTTCAAACTATACTACAAGGCTACAGTAACCAAAACAGCATGGGACTGGTACCAAAACAGATATATAGACCAATGGAACAAACGGAGGCCTCAGAAATTACACCACACACCTATAACCATCTGATGTTTGAGAAACCTGACAAAAACAAGCAATCGGGAAAGATTTATTAAATTTATTTATTAGATGGTGCTGGAAAAACTGGCTAGCCATATGTAGAAAGCTAAAACTGGATCCCTTCCTTACCCCTTATACAAAAATTAACTGAAGATGGATTAAAGATTTAAATGTAAAACCTAAAACCATAAAAACCCTAGGAGAAAACCTAGGCAATACCATTCAGGACATAGGCATGGGCAAAGACTTCATGACTAAAATACTACAAGCAATGGCAACGAAAGCCAAAATAGACAAATGGGATCTAATTAAACTAAAGAGCTTCTGCACAGCAAAAGAAGCTATCATCAGAGTGAACAGGCAACCTACAGAATGGGAGAAAAATTTTTCAATCTATCCATCTGACAACAGGCTAATATCCAGAATCTACAAAGAACTTACACAAATTTACAAGAAAAAAGCAAACAATCCCATCAGAAAGTGGGCAAAGGATATGAACAGACACTTCTCAAAAGAAGACATTTGTGGGCAAAGGATATAAACAGACACTTCTCAAAATAAGACATTTATGCAGTCAACAGACATATGAAAAAATGCTCATCATCACTGGTCATCAGAGAAATGCAAATCAAAACCACAATGAGATATCATCTTATGCCAGTTAGAATGGTGATCATTAAAAAGTCAGGAAACAAAAGATGCTGGAGAGGATGTGGAGAAATAGCAAAGCTTTTACACTGTTGGTGGGACTGTAAACTAGTTCAACCATTGTGGAAGAGAGTGTGGTGATTCCTCAAGGATCTAGAACTAGAAATACCATTTGATCCAGCAATCCTGTGGCTAGGTATATACCCAAAGGATTATAAATCATGCTATTATAAAGACACATGCACATGTATGTTTATTGTGGCACTATTCACAATAACAAAGACTTGGAACCATCTCAAATGTCCATCAATAATAGACTGGATAAAGAAAATGTGGCACATATACACCATGGAATACTATGCAGTCATAAAAAAGGATGAGTTCATGTCCTTTGCAGGGACATGGATGGAGCAGGAAACCATCATTCTCAGCAAAATATCACAAAGACAGAAAGCCAAACACTATGTTCTCACTCATAAGAGGGAATTGAACAATGAGAACACATGGACACAGGGAGGGGAATATCACACACTGGGGCCTGTTGGGGGGTGGGGGGAGGGGGGAGGGATAGCATTAGGAGAAATACCTAATGTAAATGATGAGTTGATGGGTGCAGCAAACCAACATGGCACATGTATACCTATGTAACAAACCTGTACATTGTGTACATGTACCTTAGAACTTAAAGTATAATAATAAAAAAAGAAAAAATCTCAATATCACTAGTCATCAGAGAAATGCAAATCAAAGCCACAATGAGATCCCATCTCATACCAGTCAGAATGACTATTATTAAATATTAAAATATCAAAAAATAACAAATGTTGGCAAGGTTGTGGAGAAAAGGGAATGGTTATACACTTTTGGGAAGAATGCAAATTCTTTAAGCCATCACGGAAATCAGTTTGGAGATTTCTCAAAAAACTAATAGGTGAACAATCGTTTGATCTAGCAATCCTATTACCAAGTATACTCAAAATAAAATTAATTGTTCTACCCCAAAAAACCATTAACTCACATGTTCATTGCATCACTATTCATAATAGCAAAGAAATAGAATCAATCCGGATGCCTATTAACAGTGAAATGGATAAAGAAAAATGTGATAATATACACCAGGGAATACTATACAGCCATAAAACATAATGAAATCACAATCTTTGTAGCAACATTGATGTCACTGAAGGCCATCTTGTTAGGTGAATTAAAATAGAAACAGAAAAACAAGTACTACATATTCTTACTTATGAGTGAGAGCTAAACATTGCATACACAAGGACATAAATATTTTTTAAAAAGACACTTAGAAATACTATGGGGAGTGGGTGAAAGGCATGAACACTAAAATACTAAATATTGAGTATTATGCTCACTACCTGGATAACAGAACTATTCATACACCGAACCCCATTGGCACACAATTTACACATGCAACAAACCTGCACACCTACCTCCTGAATCTAAAATAAAAGTCAAAAGAAAAAATAATACACATTTTTAAAAAGACCAAGAAAGCTGGAAACCTTGCATGGGGCTGCTGAGCACCAGAATTTATTCCAGGCCTGAAGTGGCTTGTGGGGAATGGGTGATTTGAACAGGAAAAAAAGTGACCTGCTCTCACCATAGACCTATTGAATCCTAGCTGCAGGGCACTTTATGAGTCCTATGGACACTTGAGCTGGCAGGGACAAGTGTTTGGAGAGGTGGCAGGGGTAGGACTCCAACCTTTGTGGAGCTGAGAGGGTTTGGCATGGGAGTGGCTGCAATGGAGCATCACCAGGAATAGCCGTCCACCAAGGCTTTCCATTCCCCCTTAGATGGCTTTGGACTTTGGGGACTGTCAGACTTTGACAGAGCAGAATGTCATATATGGTTATGGCATATAACCATATAGAAAAGAAATTCCAGCCAAGAATTTCACAGTCAAACTAAGCTTCATAAACATATTAATAAGATTAATACCTTTTTGTTGTTAGAAACCATGGAGATAAGAAGGTAATTAGATGGCATTATGAAAGTTCTGAAAAAAAATATGGTTCAACCAATAATTCTGTATATGGCAAAACTATTCCACAAAATTGAAAGAATAGTACCACTATACAACTTTTAGAAAGGCCAAAATCCAAAGCAAATAACAGCAAATTCTGGTGAAATTTTGGAACAACAAGAATTTTTTTTTTTTAAAGTTCCAGGATACATGTGCAGAACGTGCAGATTTGTTACATAGGTATACATGTGCCATGGTGGTTTGCTGCACCTATCAACTAGTCACCTAGGTTTTAAGCCCCACATGCATTAGCTATTTGTCCTGATGATCTCCCTCCCTTTGCTGTGCGCCCCCACCCCCGACATGCCCCGGTGTGTGTGGAACAACAAGAACATTCATTCATTGCTTGTGAGAATGCAGAATGGTATAGCCACTTTGAAATACAGTTTGGCAGTTTCTTACAAGCTGACTTATACTCTTACCACATGATCCAGTAATTGCATTCCTTAGTATTTACCCAAAGGAAACCTAAGCTGATGACCACACAAAAACCTGCACACAGATGTTTATAGAAGCTTAATTTATAATTGCCAAAAACTTGAAAATAACCAAGATGGTTTATTTTTAAAATTAAAGAAGCAATTAAGACATTCCCAGACAAACCAACACTGAGAGAATCTGTCACTATTAGATTGGCTCCACAAGTAAATAAATAAATAAATAAGCGTAACTACCAAGAGAAATATAAAAGAGTAATTGCATTTTTTTAATGATTTTATTCTACTATACTATTTAAAAGGCATCCATGAAAAGCAATAGTTTGAAATGGTTTTGATGCTCTTCTAAAGTATAAAGATGCAGTTTGTATGACAATAATAACACAAAAAAGGTCTTTCTTATAAGGCTATTGAAGAGAAAGATTTATATACCGTTAAAGTTTAGTTGATGTTAATTCAAAGCAAAATATTTAAGGAGTTAATTGTAATCCTCAGGCAACAATTAAGTGATGACTTTTAAAAAGGGCATTATAATTGCACCCTAGAACATGTATATTTAATAAAAGCAAAGCCAGTAATGAAGAAATAGAGAAACCAAAGATATAAATCAGATTAAATATAGCAAAAATGGCAGGTGTAAATGATACCTTATTAATAGTTACATTAAATATAAATTGACCAAACATTCCAATTAAATGATAAAGTTAGGTAGAGTGGATCTGTATTTTTTTAAAAAAGGAAACATGATCTATCTATATGCTGTGTACAGGATACAATTTGGATTTAAAGACGCAAATTGGTTAAATGGTTAAAGATGCAAAAAAGATATACTGTGCAAAGAAGTACCAAAAGAGAGGCTAAGCAGCTACACTGATGTCATACAAAATGAAACTTAAGACAAAAAAAGTTACTACAGAAAAGGAATATTTTATCATGATAAATCTGTCAGAGGACGTAACAATTTTAAATGTATATGTACTTACCAACAAAGCCACAAAGATATGAATCAAAGACTTTCAGAACTGATGGGAGAAAGACACAGTTAACTGATAATAGATTAAGACTTCAATATTTCCTATTCAATAATGCATAGAACAAGTAGGCTCTACAATAAAAAAAGAAGGTTTGAACAACACTATATCCAATTAAATATAATACATATAAACAGAACATACCACAGATCAAGAGCAAAATACATATTATTTTCAAATGTCCGTGCAAGATTGTTCAGAATAGATAGTATTCTAAACCATAAAACAAGCACTGATGATACCTTTAAAACATTCAGATAATGGTACATATATTCTCTGAAGACAATGAAATTAAATTAAAAAATCAATGACATAAGAAAGTTTGGTTTTAGGGTATATATGGCAAACAGACAGAAATAAAAGACACAGAGGACTTCAAAAGGGGGACTGGTGGGTAGGAAATAAGGGTTTAAAAATTACCTATTTGGTACAGTCTTCACTATTCAGGTGATGGGTACACAAGAAGCCCATACAAGATATCCATGTAACAAACCTGCATATGTACCTCGTGAATCTATAAAATTTTTTTTAAAAGTTTAAGAAATTGACAAAATATTGTAATGGAACAATTCATCTCTAAATTACCCATGAGTAAGAGAGGAAATTATGAGAGAAATTAAAAATACTTTAAAGTGATTTGAAACAAAAAGAAACACAGAAAAATTATAAAATACAGCAAAAACACAACTTAGAGAGACATTTATACCTGTAAATATCCATACTTAAATGAGAAAAGTTTAAAATCAGTAACATAAACGTCAACTTTAAGACACAGGAAAAGTAAGATAAAACGAAATCCAAAGCAATGTGAAGACAGAAAATGAAGATTAAAGGAGAAATAAATAGAATAGAGAACAGTAAAAAAATATATACAAAAATCAATAAAATCAAAAGTTGGTTCTGCATCAAAATGGAGATTCTTTAGTTAAACAAGAAATAAAAAAGTTTCAAATTATCAAATCACAGATGAAATAGCAACATTACTACCAACTTTACCAAAATAAAAGAGATTATAAGGTTATACTGTGAACAATTCTATACCAAAAAATTAGATATTCTATAGAAAATGGAAACATTTCTAGAAAGACATAACTAATAAAATTAACTCCAAAATAGGAAATACAAATAGAGCCCTATAGGAAATGAGTTAGTAATAAAAAAATTATTACAAAAATTATAAACCAATATGGCTCCACTGGCAAATTCCATCAAACATTTGAAAAAGAATCAAGAGAAATACTTCATAAAGAAGAGGAGAAATAATCATTTTCTAAGTCACCACAAATGGAAGAATACAAACCAATAACCTTTGTGAATATAGATGTAAAACAATTCAATAAAATACAGCAAACCAAATTCAACAATGTACAAAAAATACATTAGTAAGTGGGATTTATTCTAGAAATGTAAGGTTTGTTTAACATATAAAAATCGATCAATAGAACATGCTATATTAATAAAAGATAAAAATAAGAAATCATCACAATAAATGCATAAAATCAGTAGTAAATTCCAACACTGTTCATTTTTAAAATACTCATTAAACTGCCTATAAAATAGAATTTTCTCCTCTAGATCCAAGTCATCAATGAAACACCTGTAGCTAAAATCATAATGATAGCGTTGAAAATAATTTATGCATAAAATCAGGAACAATGTCTAATCTCACCACATTTATTCAACATGGCACTGGAAGTTCTAGCTAAGGAATTAGAAAAAAATGAAAGAAAATACATCCAGATAGAAGGAAAAATAAAATTATCATTTTTTCCAGATGACAGGAACTTGTATATATAGAAAAAACTATGGTAAATCTTAAAAACTATTGGAACTAATTAATGAGTTCAGTGAGGTGGCAGGATATAAGATCAATGTATAAGAGTAATTTGTAGTTCTATACTTAGAATAGAATTCAAAATGAATTTAATAAAATCATTTAGCTTGAAATAGCGACAACTGCATTTCAATTTGAAAATGAAATTACTATAACCATTTCACCTGAAAAAGAATCAAAAGAAATAAAATACATAAGAATATGTTTAGCAAAAGAAATAAAAAACGTACACTGAAACTTCAAAATATTGTTGAAAAAATTAAAGAAGTTTTAAATCAATCGAACTATATCTGGTGTTAATGGATAGAAAAACTTAGTATGTTCAAGATGCTGACACTCCCCAACTTAGGTCAAAACACACCTCCTAATAAAATTAAGAAGATTGAAATTTCCAAGCATATTTTCTGAAAACATTTGAATGAAAATAAATATTAATAGAAAATGGAATATTTTTAAAAATCACAAATGTGAAAATTAAACACATACTTGAACACAAATAGGTCCATAAAGAAATCAAAATAAAAAATAGAAACTATCTTGAGACAAATGAAACACAACATACCAAAACTTACAGGATACAACAAAAGCAGTGGCAAAAGAGAAGTTTCTAGTAATACATGTCTATGTTAAATAAAAGGAGTGTTTGAAATAAAGAACCTAACTTGAAACTTCAGAGAACTAGGAAAAAGAAGAACAAACTAAGGCCAACTTAACATTAGTAAAGAAAGAAGTTTGCATGGAAATTAAAGAAATAAATAATAAAAAAAATTAGAAATCAATGAAATTAAGAATTTAGCAATTTTGACAAACTTTTAGCTAGATTATTAAGAAAAAAGGAGAGAAGAATCAAATAAATAAAATCAGAAATGAAAAAGGTGGCATTATAGCAGATTCCATAAAAATTAAAAGTGTTATAAGAAACTACTCTGAGTAACTAAATAAACAACAAGTTAGATAACCTGGAAGAAATGAATATTTTCCTAGACACATGCAACCTGCCAAGACTGAATCATGAAGAAATAGAAAATCTGAACAGACCTGCAACTAGTAGACATTGATCAGCACTCAAAATCCTTTCAGCAAAGAAAAGCTCACGGCAAGATAGCTTCACTGGTGAATTCTATAAAACATGTAAATAATTAATGCCAATCCTATCCAAACTCTTCAAAGAACCAAAAAGGAGTGAAAACTTCCAAACTTGTTCTAGGAGATCATCATGATTCTGATACCAAAACCAGGCAGACATAATACAAGAAAATAAAATCAAAGGTCAGTAACTCTGATAAATATAGATGCAAATATTTTCAGCAAAATACAAGCAAAACAAATTCAATAGCACATGAAAAGGACCATAAACTATGACCAAGCAAAATTAATTCAAAGGATTAAAGAATGACTAATACATACAAATTAATCAATGTGACATATCATACTAACAAATTCAAAAATAAAAAGTATATGATCATATTAATAGATGCAGAAAAAGCATTTGACTAAATTCAACAATTTTATGATAAGCTCACTCAATAAACTAAGAACAGAAGACCATTTAGCATAATAAAAGCCATATTAAATATTTATACATTCAATAAAGTATAAAAAGCTAAAAGCTAACATTAAACTCAATGATAAAAACTGAAAGCTATTCTGCTAAGATCAGGAATATGACAAGGTTGTCCATTCTTACCACTTCTACCTGGCATAATGCTGGAAATTCTATCCAGAGCAATTAGACTGGAAAAAGAAACTAAAGGCATACAAATCCAGAAGAAAGAAGTTAAATTATCTCTGTTTGCAAGTGATATAATCTTATATATACAAAACCCTAAAAGTTCCACAAAATAATTTCAGGAGCTAATAAATAAATTTGGCAAAGTTGTAGAATACAATATCAACATACAAAAATCAATTGTGTTTCTATATGCTAACAATGAACAATCCAATAAAAAAATTTAAAAATCAATTTACAGTAGCATCAAAAAGAATAAAATAATTAGAAATAAAGAAGTGAAAGATCTATATACTGAAAACTACAAAACATCAGTGAAAGTAATTAAAGAAGACATGAATGAATGGAAATTTTGCTGTGTTTATGGTTGAGAAGACTACTGCTAAAATGTTCATACTACCCAAAGCAATCTACAGATTCAATACAATTCCTATCAAAATTCCAATGGTATTTTTTACAAAAATATAGTAAACAAAGCTAAAATTCACATGGAATCACAAAAAAATTCTTAAATAGTTGAAATGATATTGAGAAAGAACAAAGCTTGAGTCCTCACATTTCTTGATTTCAAAAGATATTGCAAAGCTACCAAAATCAGAAGAGTATGGTACTGACAAGACAGACATGTAGACCAATGGACTAGAATAGAGAGATTAGATGTATGGGTTTATTGCTAAGCTCTCTATAAACCCACACATATATGGTCAACTGACCTTCAACAAGGTGGTCAAGAATACACATGTCCAAGATCTGGGAATTCCAAGATAAATGTACTGGAATATTCAGTGTCTGTTAAGGACTGATTCTCTTTTTCATGTATGGTGCCTTGTTGCTGCATCCTCACATGGCCAAAGGGGCAAAGGATTTTGCTTCAACTTCTTTTATGAGGCTACTAACTTCATTAATGAGAAGGGAGGTCTCATGACCTAGTCACATCCCAAAGGCCTCACCTCTTAACACAATCACATTTCATGTTAGATTCCAACATGTGAATTTTGGGGGAACACTAACATCCAGAAAATAGTAGTCATTACTTTAAAAATCCAGAAAATATCAGATGACTATGTGGAAATATTGGAATTCTTACACACTTTTGGTGGGAATATAAAGTGGTGCAGCTGTTATGGAAAATAGTATGAAGGTTCCACAAAAAATTAAAAATATCTGCATATGACTCAGGAATCTCACTTCTGGGTATTTATCCAAACAAATTAAAATCAAGACCTTAAAAAGATACTTGTAATCCCATATTCATTGTGTCATTATTCACAATAACCAAGATTTGAAAAGGCACTAAATGGCCATTAACAGATGAATAAACAATGAAAATGTGATATAAATATATATATATAATGTGTTTAATATAATGTGTGTACCTCTCTAATATATATGTACATATATACACTCACATGTATATATGTATGTAACATATGCTACATATATAATATAAATATTATATATAATATTGTGTAATATATGTTGCATATATAACGTTATATGTGTCTATGATATACAGCACATATGTGTGTAATACATAGTATATACATATAAATATGAGATGCATATACACATATAAACATATGTCTATAAATGAGACAGCAAGAATAATATTCAGCCATAAATAAGGAAATCCCATCATATGTTGCAATGTGGATTAACCTTAAAGACTTTATGCTAAGTGAAATAAGCTAGTTACATCAAAACAGGTGCTGCATGATTCCATTTATGTAAAGTATCTAAAATAGTCAAACTCATAGAAACAGAAAGTAGAATAGTGATTTCCAGGGACTGTGGATAAGGGAAAATGGGTGAATTGTTATTTCACAGGAGTAGAGTTTTAGTCATGCAGGATAAAATTTCAAGTTCTGGAGATCTGCTGCTCAACATTATGTTTATAGCTAAACGATACTGTTATGTGCACTTAAAAAATTATCAGGTATATCGCATGTATTTTTATCATAATGAAAACAAGATGGTAATATTTTTAAAAATGATTAGTGGATTCAAAGTAATGCCTATTAAATCCCAGCTTACTTTATCACAGAAATTGACAAGCTGATTTTAAATTCATATGGAAATACAAGAGAACCTAAATAGCCAAAATAATCTCTAGAGGAACAAAGTCAGTGGACTCATAATTCCTCATTTCAAAACTTATAATGAAGCTATAGTAATCAAGATAGTGAGGTACTAACGAAAGCATAGACATGTGTAGTTCAGTGGAACTACACATTGAGAGTCCAGAAACAAACCCATGCACTTATGGTCAACTAATTTTTGGCAAATCATGAAGACATTTCAGTTAAGGAATGAGTAGTGTTTTTAAAAATGTTGCTGGGAAAAAAATCCAATACTTTTTAATCTCACATATATGTAGAATCTAAAAAAGTCAGAGAGTAGAAACAGAGAGTCAAACAGAGCTATGGAAACATAATAAAATTGTGGTTAACAGAGGCTGGAGGTGGAAGACACGGAAAGAAGACATGTTAGTCAAAGGGTAGAAAGTTTCAGTTAGACAAAAAGAAAAAGTTGTAGTAATCTATTGCAAAACAATGAAAAACCTTTAGTAATCTATTGCAAAACATGGTGATCATACTTAATGCATGTTTCAAAATTACTAGAAGGGTGTATTTTCAACATTCTCACCACAAAAACAAGATAAGTAGGTGAGGTGATAAATATGTTAATCATTTTGATTTAATTTTTCTACAATGTATACATATATCAAAACAACACCTTATACCCCATAAAAACACAATTATTATTTATCAATGTTTTAATTATTTAATTATTTCTTATTTTTTACTTTTGTGGGTACATAGTAGGTGTAAATATTTATGGGGTACATGAGATGTTTTGATACAGATATACAATGTGAAATAAGCACATCATGGAGAATGGGGTATCCATTCTCTCAAGCAACTTCAGTCATTTGCAATGACATGGATAGAACTGGATATCAATTAATTTTTAATCACAGTTAAAAATTATGCTGCAACTGTATATTGTTGACACATACAAAAGAATGCATTTAAACTCTTACTTCACACTATACACTAAAATTAACCCAATGGATCAAAGACCTAAATGTAAGAGCTCAATCTACAAAACTGTTAGAAGAAACTATAGGTGTAAATTTTCATGACCTTGTATAAGGACACTGATTCTTAGATATAAAACCAAAAGCAGGGGTGATACAATACAAACTGGATAAATTGGATTCATCAAAATGTAAACTTTCATTCTTTAAAAGAAATCAGTAAGAAAGTGAAAGAACAACCTACAGAATGAGAGGGAATTTGCAAATCACCTATCTGATAAGATATTTGCATACAAAATACATAAGGGAGCCTTACAACTCAAAAATAATATTAACAAATTAAATGATCCATTTAGACAATGTGAAGATAATGTAAATGAACATTTCTTTAAAGAAGATATGCAAATACCCAACAAACTCCTAAAAAGTTGTTGGACATAGTCATTAGAAAAATGCAAATTAAAACTTCAATGAGATATCTCAGCACATCCAATAGAATGGCTAACATCAAATAGAAAGCTTGTAGCAAATGTTGAAGAAGATGTGGACAACCGGAACCATTATACATTGTTGATAAGGGTGTAAAATGTTGTAGTTACTTTGGTAAATAGTCTGGCAGTTCCTCAGAATTTGAACATAGAATTTGTCTCATGGCCCAGTGATTCCCAGATATGTACCTCAATAAGTTTAAAACATGTGTCGGAAAAATGTGCCCATGATTGTTGACAGGAGCATTATTCTAATAGCCAAAACTTGGAAATAACCTAGTGTCCATTAACTGATCAGTGGATCAACAAAAGGTGGTATAGCTATACAATGGAAATGTTAATCATAGAAAGAATGAAATACTGATACCTGCTACAACATGGATGAATATTAAAAACACATGATAAGTAAAGAAAGTCAGACCAACAGCCATATTGTGATGTCATTTATATAAAATGTCCAGAACAGGAAACTCTATGAACAGACATTTGACTAGTGGTTGACAAGAGCTGAGAAGTGGTTGAAAAGAGCTGAGGAGAGTGCTGCTATTAGATACAGAGTTTTTCGGGGAGATTAATGAATATATTCTGGAACAGATAGTAGTGACGGGGGTATAAGGCTAAAAATGTTCTAAAGCCAATTGAATTGAACACTTTAAAAGTGTAAATGTTATGATATAAAAATATATTTTATATATAATATAAATATAAAATATTTATATATAAATATATTATATATATAAATAAATATTTTATTTAAATAATGCCAAAAGAAGGAAAGAGAGAGAACATCATTATCCAGTGATTCGGAGATCACAAAGCCATTACTCCTGCAATAACTGCTAACACTGCCTCAGTTGCCACTCAACATTGATGAAATTGATGATGAGCCACTGGAAATCTAAGTTCAGTCACCGCAATTGCTTCTCAATCCATGATTTTGTTTGCCAACAGATATAGCAACAACAAGAGCTTTCTGTCTCTTTTCTGCTTTCCTAATCCCACAGAAGTGCATATAATTAGTGGAACCTCATTTTTTCAGGACTAAGTGTAAAGAAATCTGAACTATATAGTGTTTTGTTGTGTTTTGATGTTGCTTTTTAGACTCCATATTATAAGAAACAAAGGATAAATTGTTGCCTGAAAAATAAAATACTCAATACCCTCCACAGAAAGTCTCTCCAGGAGTATGACATGTAAGCTACAGTCTCAAAAATGAGAAAGGACCAGCTATCTGCCAGTGCAAAAATCTGGGGGAAAACCATTTCAGGCTGTGGAAATAGAATGTATGAGAATCCTGATGTGAGAGATGATTTGTTTTGCTTTAATTCAGAAAAAAAAGCTTTTTGTCTATATGTCCCTTAACAGTTACTATATTTATATTTCTTGTCTCATTGTCTCCCTATGCTGCATTCTGGAAAATTTCTTGTGACCCGTCTTCAAGATTACCAAGTATGTCTTCACATATGTTAATTTTTTTAAATGAATCTGCTGACTTAAAAAATTCTGTTATTTCCTACTTTCATTCCTAGCAGTTATATTTGGTGTGTTTTCAAACCTCTGGGAATTTTTAATATGCTATTCCTGATAAAATTTTAGTTGGTTAAGTGTAAGAATATTTGTTTATTATTTGTTGATTTTAAATATTTCCTTTTTTGGGCTTTTAAAAATTTATTTTAGGTCCAGGTATACATGTGGAGGTTCCCTATATAAGTAAGTTATATGTCACAGGGGTACGGTGTACAGATTATTTCATCAGCCAGGTAATAAGCATTAGTACTTGACAGGCAGTTTTTCCATCTTCACCCTCATTTCACCCTCCACATTCAAGTAGACCTCAGTGTCTGTTGTTCTCTTCTTTTTGTCCATGTGTACTCAATGTTTAGATCCTACTTGTAAATGATAATATGTGGTATTTGGTTTTCTGTTTCTGCATTAGTTTGCTTAGAGTAATGGTCTCCAACTTTATCTGTTGCTGAAAAACACATAATCTAATTATTTCAATGACTGCATAGTATTCCATGGTGGTATATATGTACCATATGATCTTTGTTCAGTCTACAACTGATGGGCATTTAGGTTGATTCCATGTCTTTGCTATTGTGAATAGTGCTGCAGTAAACATATGCATGTGTGTGTCTTCTTACTAAAAGAATTTATATTTCTTAGCACATATATTCAATAATGGAATTGCAGGGTCAAATAATAGTTCTGTTTTAAATTCTTTGAGGAATTTCCCATCTGCCTTCCACAATAGCTGAAATGATTATATTATCATTAACAGTGTATAAGCATTCCATTTTCTCCACAACTTCACCAGCACCTGATATTTTTTGAATTTTTAATAATACCGTTTTAACTAGAGACAGATACTATTCATTGTGCATTTGGTTTGCATTTCTCTAAGTGATTAGTGATGTTGCATATTTTTTCATATGCTTGTTAGTCAGGTATATGTCTTCTTTTGAAAAGTGTCTGTTCATGTCCTTTGCACACTTTGTAATGGAGTTGTTTTTTACTTGTTAATTTGTTTAAGTTCCTTATAGACTCTGGATATTAGACTTATATCAGATGCATAGTTTGCAAATACTTTCTCCAGTTCTGTGGGTTGCCTGTTTTCTCTGTTGATAATTTATTTTGCTGTGCATAAGCTTTTTAGTTTAATTAGGTCATACTTATTAATTTCTGGTTTTGTTGCAATTTCTTTTGGAGTCTTTGTCATAAATCTTTGCCAAGGTCTCTGTCCAGAATGGTATTTCCTAGGTTTTCTTCAAGGGTTTTTATAGTTTCAGGGTTTCAATTTAAGTCTTTACTCCATCTTTGCTGATTTTTGTATATGATGTAAGGAAGGTGGCTGGTTTCACTGTACTGCATATGGCTAGCCAATTATCACAGCACAGTTTATTGGACAGGGCGTCCTTTCCCTATTGCTTGTTTTTGTTGACTTTGTCGAAGGACAAATGGTTATAGGTATGTGGTCATATTTTTCGTCTCCCTATTCTGTTCCATTGGTCTATGTGTCTGTTTATGGACTAGTACCATGCTGTTTTGCTTACCATAGCTTTGCTTGAAGTCAGGTACTGTGAGGCCTCCAGCTTTGTTCTCTATGCTTAGGATTGCTTTTGCTACTCAGGCTCTTTTTAGGCTCCACATGAATTTTTTCTTTTCCTTTTTTTTTTTTTTTTTTTTTTTGAGACAGAGTCTCACTCTATCACCCAGGCTGGAGTGCAGTGTCGCGATCTCTGTTCACTGCAACCTCTGCCTCCTGGGTTCAAGTGATTCTCCCGCCTCAGCTTCCCAAGTAGCTGGGATTACCGGTGCCCACCACCATGCCCAGCTATTTTTTTTTCTTTTTTGTATTTTTAGTAGAGATAGGGTTTTACCATATTGATCAGGCTGGTTTCAAACTCCTGACCTCAAGTGCATTTGCCAACCCTGGCCTCCTAAAGGGCTAGGATTACAGGCATGAGCCATCATACCCAGCCCATATGAATTTTAAAATAGCTTTTTTTTTCCTATTTCTGTGCAGACTCTCATTGGTAGTTTGATAGTAATAGCGTTGAATCTATAACTTGCTCTGGGCAGAATGACCATTTTAACAATATTTGTTCTCCCTATCAATGAGCATGGATAGGTTTTTTCCATTTGTGTCATCTGTGATTCCTTTCAGTGCTGTTTTGTAATTCTCATTGTAGAGATATTTCATCTTCCTGGTTAGCTGTACTTCTAGGTATTTTATTCTATTTGTGGCTATTGTAAATGGGATTGCATTCTTGATTTGGCCCTTAGCTTGCATGTTGTTAGTGCATAGAAATGCTACCAATTTTTACACATTGATTTTGCATGCAAGAACTTTGCTAAAGTTGTTTATTAGATATAGGAGCTTTTGGGCAAAGACTACGTTGTTTTCTAGGTAAAGAATCATATTGTTTGCAGACTGAGATAGTTTCATTTCTTCTCCTCCTATTTAGGTGCCTTTTATTTCTTTCTCTTGTCTCATTTCTCTGGCTAGGACTTCCAGTAACATGTTGAATAGGAGTGGTGATAATGGGCATCCTTTTCTTGTTCTGGTTCTCACGGGGAATGCTTCCAGCTTTTGCCCATTCAGTATGATGCTAGCTGTGGGTTGGACATAGATTTGTTTCATTATTTTGAGGTATGTCCCTTAAATGCTTAGTTTGTTGAGAGTTTTTAACCTGAAGGATATTGAATTTTATCAAGTCTTTTCTGCATCTATTGAGAAGATTGTGTGATTTTTGTTTTAGTTCTTTTAAATGATGAATAACATTTATTGATTTGTGTAGTTTGAACCAACTTTACATTACAAAGATAACGTCTACTTAATCATTGTGGATTAGCTTTTAAATGTGCTCCTAGATTTGGTTTGCGAGTATTTTGTTGAAGATGTTCTTCAACCATGCTCATCAGGCATACTGGCTTGAAATTTCCTTGGTGTACGTGTCTTTGTCAGGTCTTGTCATCAGAATGATGCCGGGCTCATAAAATGGTTTAAGGAGGATTCCCTCCTTCTTCTTATTATTTTTTATTTATTTTTTTGAAATAGTTTTGGTGGTACCAGTGGTACCAAATGGTACCAGTTTTTCTTTACACGTCTGATAGAATTTGGCTGTGAATTTGTCTGTTCCTGGGCTTTTTCTAGTTGGTAGGATTTTTACTAGTGATTCTATTTCAGGACACCTTATTGGTATTTTCAGGGATTCAATTTCTTTTTGGTTTTGTCTGGAGATGATGTATGTTTCCAGGAATTTATCCATCTCTTGAAGGTTCTCTACATTGTGTGCATAGAGGTGTTTGTAGTAGTCTCTGAGGGTTTTCTGTGTTTTTGTGGGGTCAGTGATAATGTCCCCTTTGCCATTACTGATTGTGTTTATTTAAATCTTCTCTCTTTTTTTCATTAGTGTAGCTAGAAGTTTATCAATCTTATCTAATCTTTCAAATAACCACCATTAGATTCATCTGTTTTGTAATTTTATTGTGTTTCAATTTCATTCACTTCTTCTCTAATTTTGGTTATTTATTGTCTTTTGCTAGCTTTGAGTTTGGTTTGCTCTTTCTTTTCTACTTCCTGTAGTTTTTATGTTAGGTTGTTAACTTGAGATCTTCGTAACTTTTTCACGTGCACATTTAGTGCTATAAATTTTCCCTTTAATACTGCTTTGCGGGTACCTGATATTCTGGTATTTTGTATCTTTATTTTCATTAGTCTCAAAGAATTTTATTTTTGCCTTAATTTTATCCTTAAGCCAAATTTATTCTGGAGCAAGTTGTTTTGTTTCCATGTGGTTCTACAGTTTTGAGCCATCTTCTTAGTGTTGATTTCTCTTTTTGTTTCACTGTGGTCTGACAGTGTGGTTGGTATGATTTCAGTTTCTTGAATTTGCTGAGAACTGTTTTATGGCTTAATGTGTGGTTGATTGTCGACTCTGTGTCATGTGGTGATGAGAAGAATGAATATTCTGTTGGTTTTGGGTGGAGAGTTCTGTAGATATCTGTTAGGCCCATTTTTGAATATGGAGTTCAGGTTCTGAATATCTTTGTTAGTTTTCTGACTTGATGATCTGTCTAATACTGTCAGTGGGATATTGAAGTTTTCCACCATTTTTGTGTGATTATCTAAGTCTCCTTTTAGGTTTCTAATAACAAGTTATGTGAGTCTGGGTCCTCTTGTGTTGGATGCATTATACTTAGGACACTTAGGTCTTCTTGTTGAACCATTTACCATTATGTAATGTCCTTATTTGTCTTTTTGATCAATATCAATATAAAGCCTGTTTTGTCTAAAATTAAAATAACAATTTCTACTTTTTTCTGTTTTCCATTTGCATGATACATTTTTCTTTATCTCTTTACTTTTAGTTTATGGGTGTCATGGCATGTCAGATTGGTCTCCTGAAGACAGCATTTAGTGGGGTCTTGCATTTCTATCTAACATGGCACTCTGTGCCTTTTAAGTGGGGGCATTTATTCTATTTACATTAAATGTTAATAATGATATGTGTGGATTTGGTCCTGTCATCATGTTGTTACCTGTTATTATGTAGACTTGATTGTGTAACTGCTTTATAGTTTCTACTATCTATGTACTTAAGTGTGTTTTTGTGGTGACTGGTAATGGTCTTTCATTTTCATATTTAGCACTCCCTTAAGGACCTCTTGCAAGGCATGTCTGGTGATAACAGACTCCCTTAGCATTCGCTTATCAGAAAAGGATCCTATTTCTCCTTCACTTATGAAGCTTAGTTTGGCTGGATATTAGATTCATGGTTGGAATTGATTTTCTTTAAGAATCCTGAATATAGACCCCCAATCTGTTCAGGCCTGTAGGGTTTCTGCTGAATGGTCACCTGTTAGACTGAGGGGGTTCCTTTGGTAAGTGACCTGCCCCTCCTCTCTAGCTGTCTTTAACATTTTTTCTTTCATTTCAACCTTAGAGAATCTGATGACTATGTGTCTTGGGATGGTCACCTTCTATGGGATCTCAAAGGAGTTCTCTGCATTTTCTGAATTTGAATGATGGCCTCTCCATTGAGGTTGGGCAAATTTTCATAGATTATATCTTCAAGTATATTTTTCAAGTTGCTTATTTTCTCTCCCTCTCTTTCAGGGATGCCAATGAGTCATAAATTTGGTCTCTTTACGTAATCCCACATTTCCAAGAGGTTTTTTTCATTCTTTTTTATTCTCCTTTATTAATTTCTGTCTGACTGCTTTAATTTGGATAACTAGTCTTCAAATTCTGAGACTCTTTTCTCAGCTTATTCTACTCTACTGCTAATATTGTGATTCTATTATGAAATTTGTGAAGTGAATTTTTAAGCTCTATCAGATGAGTTTGATTCTTTCTTGAAATGGCCATTTTATCTTTTATATCCTGTATTATTTTATTATATTCCTTAGTTTCCTTACATTGTGTTTTAACTTTCTGTTGAATCTTGATTATCTTCATTCCTATTCATAATCTGAATTCTATGCTTGTCACTTCAGCAATTTAAACCTGGTTAAAAACCATTGCTGAGGAACTGGTGTGGTCATTTGGAGGTAAGAAGATACTCTGGCTTTTTGAGTTGCCAGATTACTTGCACTGGTTCTTTTTCATTTTTGTGAGCTGATGATCCTTTAATCTTTGAAGTTGTTATTCTTTAGCTGTTACCTTCTTTGATGCCCTTGGGGGTTTGATTTTGATTTAAAATTCATTAAGTCAACTGGCTTAATTTCTGGAAGATTTTAACAGGCCAAGGTTGTGCTCAGCACTCTTGTGCTGTGTGTTCTAACTCTGGGGGGATGCTATTGGGTCCTCAGTTTTGTTCTCTATCCCCTTAAGTTCAGGAACCTACTGCACTGGAGGAGCCAGGGTGTTCCTAGTCTATTCCTAGTCTGATTGGTGATGCTGACTCAAGGCCTTCATTAGGGCAATGGAAGGGTCATTCATTGTCACTTGCGCATGCTACCAGCTGCAGCAGTGCCACAGGGTGCATGTGCATCAGCTAGGTCAGGGAACTGGTGGGAGTTAGGTGGCAGCAATCCTGTATGAAGTCTCACAAGTGGCAGTGGTAATGCATCATGGGTGGATCTTGGCAAGATTAGGGTTGTTGACAACTGTGCTTATACATGTAGTGGTGGCAGGAGTGAGAATGGGGCGCTGGTAGTGGTGGATTTACTGATGTATGTGTGCATGTTTGCACAGGCGGCAGTGCAACATGGTCTAGGTAGGTTTATGCATGTCCCTGTGTGCATGTGTACTGTCAAAGGTGACATGGGAGGGACCCATGCATTAGTGGACAGGTGTGTCATGGTGTGCACCTGCCATCAATGGTGGTACAGTAGTCTTCATGAGTATAGTTACACTGGTGGAGGAGGTAAGCTGAAGTCTGCCCATGCATGAATGCCAGCAAAGTGGTGGTAGTGGGGATGGAAGGCATGGGTATGTTTGTACTGTCAGAGCTACAAGGGGAGGCTGTAGTTGTGCTGATGAGCATCAGTGAAGGATGGACTGCTAGAACTGCTACCGTCAGGCAGTTTGTTGGTGAAGAAGCTATGATGAAAGCCATGTAGAAGTACTTTGGTTGGGAATCTGGGGCTCTGCTGCAGGTGAGCACAGCCTGGCTGGGGCCCCAAAGAAGGCAAGCAGACAGTGGGGAGTACAGATCAGACGGGCCCTGTCCCACTTATCCAAATCAAACAGTCACTCCAAGGCCAAAGTCTCTTAGGGGAGCATGGAGAGCCTTGAAGGATGGGTATCCATGCCCACGCTCCATTGTGATTCTTCACATACTAAACACTCTGAGCTTCACAGAGGCCATAGGGCTGCCCCTGCCACCTCTTTTAGCATAGGTGTCTGCAATGTCAAGTTTTTGTGGGGGTTGTGGGGTCTCTTACTGCTAAGATTCCAGAGGTCCATGGTGAGAGCAGAACACTCCTTGCCTGCTCAAGTCATCCCTTCCCCAGAAATAACTAGGGCACAGAACATATCCTAATACTTGAGAGCCCCATGCAGGCTTCTCAGACTTCTCCCACATCATTTCAGCATCTATGTCCTCCCCTCATCCACTCACATTGCCTTCCATCCAAAGATGCACTCAAATTGTACCAGTCGTCTTGATTTCCTGGTGTCTTGGTGGAAGATGTTTCCCTTGGCTATGTCTAGTCAGCCATCTTGGCTCATGTCTGATTTAAATATTTGAAGAGTTTGCAAGTTTATTTTTGTTGCCTGCTGTTTTGTTCGTTCTAACTCATCTGCTTTGTTTTCTCGTGTGAGTGCTTACTTTTGAATGGGTGATGTTTGTTGTATTGCCACACTAAAGTGAAGAACACATGCCTCGTTGTCTTTGCTAAATGCTGATTGTAAATACCCAGGGCATAGAAATATCTAGCTAAACTTTGTAACAATTTGAGTGAAGTGAGAAGCCTCCTGGCCAGAACTTGAGGGAAGTCCAAATGTGGTGTGCAGACTACACAGGCAGGGAAACCCAAGCCCTTTTCTTTAGCGGCTGGGAGGTCAACACAGAAAGTCAACAAAGAAACAATGGATTTAAACTATACCTTGGAACAAGTGGACTTAACAGAAATATACAGAACATTTCATTCAACAACCACAGGGTAGCCTGGGGAAGGTTTTCAAGCCTGTCTCACTCTCTGCTTGGAAATGGGCTCAGGGCTGTTGGGGGTGAAACAGTGGGAGTGAGATGATTTTCCGTTTGTGTTGGAGCTGGGTGAGGCCTGTGACTGCCAGCATTTCCCCACTTCCCTGACAACCTGCATGACTCAGCAGAAGCAGCCATAATTCTCCTAGGTACACAATTGCAGTCACCTGGGAATCTTTTCCCATCCCCCACAGCAGCTGCAGCAAGACTCGCCCAAGGAGAGTCTGAGTTCCCCCCACACCTAGCCCCAACCCCAACTGATGGTCCTTCCCTACTCACCCTGGTAGTGGAAGACAAAGGGCATATAATCTTGGGAGTTCTAGGGCCCTGCCCACCATGAGTTCCTCCCGATGCTACCACAGCTGATGCTCTCTGGAAAGTGCCACCTCCTGGAAGGAGGCCAACCAGCACAAAAATCGAGCATTAAACTACCAAAGCTAAGAACCCTCACAGAGTCCATTGTACGTCCCACCCCCCAACCTCCACCAGAACAGGTGCTGGTATCCAAGGCTGAGAGACCCATAGATGGTTCACATCACAGGACTCTGTGCAGACAACCCCCGGTACCAGCCTAGAGCCAGGTAGACTCACTGCGTCACTAGACTCAGAAGAGACACAACAATCACTGGAGTTGTCCTATGTGAACAATCACATAGGAAGCCACATCCATAGGAAAAGGGGGGGGAGAACTACATCAAGGGAACAGTCCCATAGGACAAAAGAATCTGAACAACAGCCTTCAGCCCTAGACCTTTCTTCTGATAAAGCCTACCCAAATAAGAAGGAGCCAGAAAATGAACCCCGGTAATATAACAAAACAACACTCTTCAACACCCCCCCCAATCAAAATCACACTAGTTCACCAGTAATGGATCGAAACCAAGAAGAAATACCTGATTCACCTGAAAATGTATTCAGGAAGTTAGTTATTAAGCTAATCAGGGAGGGACCACAGAAAGGCAAAACCCAGTGCAAGGAAATCCAAAAACTGATACAAGAACTGAAGGGAGAAATATTCAAGGATATAGATACCTTAAAGAATAAACAATCAAAAATTCAGGAAACTCTGGACACACTTTTAAAAATGTGAAATGCTATGGAAAGTCTCAGCAGTAGAATTGAACAAGTAGAAGAAAGAAATTCAGAGCTTGAAGACAAGGTCTTTGAATTAACCCAATCCACCAAGGACAAAGAAAAAAGAATAAAAAAAATATGAACAAATCCTCCAAGATGTCTGGGATTATGTTACATGACCAAACCTAAGAATAATCAGTGTTTATGAAAAAGAAGAGAATTCTAAATGCTTGGAAAGCATATTTGGGGGAATAATCAAGAAAAACTTTCTCAGTCTTGCTAGAGACCTAAACATCCAAATACAAGTAACATAAAGAACACCTGGGAAATTCATTGCAAAAAGATGTTTGTCTAGGCACATTGTCTTCAGGTTATTCAAAGTTAAGACAAAGGAAAGTTTCTTAAGAGCTGTGAAAGAGAAGCACCAGGTAACCTATTAAGGAAAATCTATCACGTTAACAGTAGATTTCTCAGCAGAAACCCCACAAGCTAGAAGGGATTGGGGCCCTATCTTCAGCCTCCTCAAACAAAACAATTATCAGCCAAGAATTTTGTATCCAGCGAAACTAAGCAACAGATATGAAGGAAAGATACAGACTTTTTCAGACAAACAAATGCTGAGAGAATTTGCCATTACCACGCCACTGCTAAAATGAGCTCTAAATCTTAAAACAAATCCTGGAAATATCAAAACAGAACCTATGTAAAGCCTAAATCACACAAGACTTATAAAACAAAAATATAAGTTAAAAAGGAAATCAAAAACAAACCAAAAAAACAAAGTACACAGCCAACAAAGAGCATGATGAACGCACATTTTAATACAAACATTGAATGTAAAAGTCCTAAATGCTCCACTTAAAAGATACAGAACAGCAGAATGGATAAGAACTCAACAACCAACTATCTGTTGCCTTCAGGAGACACACCAAACGCATAAGGACTCACATAAACTTAAAGTAAAGTGATGGAAAAAGGCATTTCGTGCTAATGGACACCAAAAGTGAGCAGGGGTAGCTATTCTTATATTAGACAAAACAATCTTTAAAGCAACAGCTGTTAAAATAGACAAAGAGGGACATTATATAATGGTAAAAGGCCTTGTCCAACAGGAAAATATCACAATTCTAAACATATATGCACCTAACACTGGAGATTCCAAATTTATAAAACAATTACTAATTGACCTAATAAATGAGATAGACAGCAACACAATAATAGTGGGGACTTCAATACTCCACAGTCAGCACTAGACAGGCCATCAACACAGAAAGTCAACAAAGAAACAATGGATTTAAACTATACCTTGGAACAAGTGGACTTAACAGAAATATACAGAACATTTCATCCAACAACCACAGAATACACATTCTATTCAACAGTGCATGGAAGTTTCTGCAAGATAGACCATATGATAGGCCATAAAACAAGCCTCAATACATTTAAGAAAATTGAAATTATATCAAGCACTCTCTCAGACTACAGTGGAATAAAACTTGAAATCAACCCTAAAAGGAACCTTCAAAACCATGCAAATACATCGAAATTAAATAACCTGCTAATAAATGACCATTGGGTCAAAAACAAAATCAAGATGAAAAGTAAAATAATCTTCGAACTAAACAACAATGATGACACAACTTATCAAAATTTCTGGGATACGGCAAAGGTGGTGCTAAGAGGAAAGTTCATAGCCCTAAACATCTACATCAAAAAGACTGGAAAAGCACCAACTGACAGTCTAAGGTCACACCTCAGCGAACTAGAGAAACAAGAACAAACCAAACCCAAACTCAGCAGAGGAAAGGAAATAACCAAGATCAGAGCAGAGCTAAATGCAACGGAAACAAACAAACAAATAACAACAACAAAAAATACAAAAGATAAATGAAACAAAAAGCTCGTTCTTTGAAAAGATAAAATTGATAGACCACTAGCAAGATTAAGCAAAAAAAAAAAAAAAAAAGAAGAAGAAGAAGAGAGGAAATCCAAATAACCTCACTAAGAAAAGAAACAGGAGATATTACAACTGACACCACTGAAATATAAGAGATCCTTCAAGGCTACTATGAACACCTTTACACACATAAACTAAAAAATCTAGAAAAGATGAATAAATTCTTAGAAAAATACAACTCTCCTAGCTTAAATTTGGAAGAATTAGATACCCTGAACAGACCAAGAACAAGCAGTGAGATTGAAATGGTAATTTAAAAAATATCAACAAAACAACTTCCAGGACTGGATAGATTCACAGCAAAATTCTTTCAGACATTCAAAGAAGAATTGGTTCCAATCACTTTCACACTATTCCACAAGACAGAGAAAGAAGGGACCCTTCCTAATTCATTCTATGAAGCAGCAGCTCCCTAATACCAAAACCAAGAAAGGATATAACCAAAAGAGAAAACTACAGACTGATATCCTTGATGAAGATTGATGCTAAAATTCTCAACAAAATACTAGCTAACCGAATTCAACAACAAATCAAAGAGATAATCCACCATGATCAAATAGGTTTCACAACCAGGGATGCAGGGATGGTTTAACATATGCAAGTCAATAAATGCGATACGCCACATAAACAGAATTAAAATCAAAAATCACATGATCATCTCAATAGACGCAAAAAAGCATTTGACAAAATCCGTCATTCGTTTATGATTAAAACTCTCAGCAAAATTGGCATACGAGGGACATACCTTAATGTAGTAAAAGCCATCTATGACAAACCTACAGCCAAGATAACACTGAATCGGGAAAAGTTGAAAGCATTCTGTCTGAGAACTGGAAAAAGACAAAGATGCCCACTCTCACCACTCCTCTTCAACATAGTGCTGGAAGTCCTAGCCAGAGCAATCAGACAAGAGAAAGAAATAAAGGGCATCCAAATCGGCAAAGGTGAAGTCAAACTGTCATTGTTTGATGTTGATATGATTGTTTACCCCAAAAACCCTAAAGACTCCTCCAGAAAGCTCCTATAACTAATAAAAGAAGTCAGTAAACTTCCAGATACAAGATTAATGTACACAAATCAGTAGCTCTTCTATACACCAATGGCAACCAAGCAGAGAATCAAATCAAGAATTCAACCCCTTTTACCATAGCTGCAAAAACATAAAATAAAATACTTAGGAATATACCTAACCAAGAAGGTGAAAGACCTCTACAAGGAAAACTACAAAACACTGCTGAAAGAAATCATAGATGACACAAAGAAATGGAAACACATCCCATGCTTATGGATGGGTATAATCAATATTGTGAAAATGTCCATACTGCCAAAAGCAATACACAAATCCGATACAATTCCCATCAAAATACAACCATCATTCTTCAGAGAAGTAGAAAAAACAATTCTAAAATTTATATGGCACCAAAAAAAAAAAAAAGCACGCATATCAGAGCAAGACTAACCAAAAAGAACAAATCTGGAAGCATCACACTACGTGATTTCAAACTATACTATAAGGCCATAGTCACCAAAACAGAGTGATACTGATATAAAAATAGGCACATAGATCAATGGAACAGAATGGAGAACCCAGAAAAAAAAAAAAAGAACTCAAATACTTGCAGCCAACTGATCTTCAACAAAGAAAACACAAACAAAAGTGGGGGAAAGACACCCTTTTCAACAAATGGTGCTGGGATAATTGGCTAGCCACATGTAGGAGAATGAAACTGGATCCTCATCTCTCACATTATACAAAAAGTAACTCGAGATGGATTAAGGACTTAAACCTAAGACCCAAATTCTAGAAGATAACATTGGAAAAACCCTTCTAGACATTTGCTTAGGCAAGGATTTCATGACAAAGAACTCAAAAGCATATACAATAAAAACAAAGATAAAGAACTGGGACCTGATTAAACTAAAGAGCTTTAACAGACAACCCACATAGTGATAGAAAATCTTCACAATCTATATATCTGACAAAGGACTAATATCCAGAATCTACAACAAACTCAAGCAAATCAATAAGAAAAATAATTTTAAATTTCATCAAAAAGTGGGCTAAGGACATGAATAAACAATTATCAAAAGCAGATATATTGGACAATGAACATGTTAAAAAATGCTTAACGTCACTAATAATCAGGGAAATGCAAATCAAAACCACAATGCGATATCACCTTACTCCTACAAGAATGGCCATAATCAAAAAATCAAAAAACAGTACATGTTGACATGGATGTGGTGAACAGGGAACACTTCTACACTGCTGGTGTGAATGCAAACTAGTGCAGCCACTATGGAAAACCATGTGGAGATTATTTAAAGAACTAAAAGTAGAATTACCATTTGATCCAGCAATCCCACTATTCGGTATCTAACCAGAGGAAAATAAGTCATCATTTGAAAAAGATTCTTGCATGTGCATATTTATAGCAGCACAATTCACAATTGCAAAATCGTGGAACCAACACAGATACCCATCGATCAATGAGTGGATAAAGAAATATATAAATATATATGTGATGGAATAGTATGCAGCCATAAAAAAGAGCGAATTAACAGCAGTTGCAACGATCTGGATGAGATTGGAGATTATCATTTGTATTATTCTATTTGTGTTATTCTAAGTGAAGTAAGAAATGGAAAAGCAAACATCATATGTTCTCAATGATATGTGGAGATAAGCTATAAGGACGCAAAGGCACAAGAAGGATACAGTGGGCTTTGGGGACTTGGGGTGAAGTGTAGGAGGGAGTAAAAGGATAAAAAGCTACATATATGGTGCAGTGTATGCTGCTCGGGTGATGAGTGCACCAAAATCTCACAAATAACCACTAAAGAACTTACTCATGTAACCAAATACCACCTGTATCCCAATAATTTATGGAAAAAAGATAAAATAAATAAATAAATATAAATAAATAAATAAAAAGTAAATAACAAGAGAATTCAAAGCAAATTTTACAAATCAAGCATTTTCTCTTACTACAATGGAAGAAAACAAGGAATTAATAACAGGAGAACTTTGGAAACCTCACAAACACATGGAAATTAAACAATATGCTACTGAATGACCAGTTGTTCAATGAATACGCTAAGAAATACAAAATTGAAACAAACAATAATAGAAACACAACATATCAACACCTATGAGATACAGCAAAAGCAATTCCAACAAGGAAGTTAGGGCCTACATCAAAAATAAGAAAAATTTCAAGTGAGCAGTTTAATGGTGCATCTTGAAAAATTAGAAAAGCAAGAACAAATCAAACTCACAATTAGTAGTATAGAAGAAAAAATAAAAAATGGAGCATAAATAAATAAAATCAAAATGAAGAATACAGCACAAAAGATCAACAAAGTGTTGATTTTTTGAAAAGTTAAACATAATTGACCGACCTTTTAGCCAGACTAAGAAAAAAAGAAAGAAGATACAAATAAATAAAATCAGAAGTGAAAAGGAAGCCATCAAAGGTGATACTGCAGAAATTTAAAAGATTATTTCTGGCTACTATGAGCAACTATGGCAGTACATTGGAAAATCTAGAATAAATGGACAAATTACTATAATTATACAACTGACCAAGACTGTATCAGGAGGAAACCAAAACCTGAACAGACCAATAACAAGTAATAAGATTGAAGTCATAATAAAAAGTCTGTCAGTAAAGAAAAGCCCAGGACCTGATGGCTTTACTGCTGAATTCTTAAAAATCAAAACAAAACAAAACAGAAACATTTAAAGAAGAACTAATATGAATCTTACTCAAACTATTCTGAAAAATAGACAAAGAAGGAACACTAAAGTAATTCTATGAATCCAGTATTAGCCTGATACCAAAACCAGACAAACATACAACAAAAAAAAAAGAAAAAAAGAAAAGAAAAAGAAAACTACAGGCCAATATCTCTGATGACTTGTGATGCAAAAATTCTCAACAAAATAGAAGCAAACAAATTCAAAAATATGTTATAAAGATAATTCAACATAATCAAGTGGGATTTAACCCTTGAATGCAAGGATGGCTCTACATATGCAAATCAATCAACATGTTACATGATATCAACCGAAAGAAGTATAATGACCACATTACCATTTCAAGTGATGCTGAAAAAGCACTTGACAAAATTCAACATCCCTTTACGATAAAAACTTTCAAAATACTGTATAGAATGAACATACCTCAATATAATAAAAGCCATATATGACAGACCAACAGCTAGTGTTATACAGAATGGAGAACAACTGAAAGCCTTTCCTCTATGATCTGTAACATGACAAGAATGCCCATTTTCACCACTGATATTCAACATGAGAGATATTCAACATCAGCGAGAAAATAATGTAAGGCATCCACATTCTAAGGCATCCAAATAAAAGAAATCCAAATGGAAGATGTAAAATTTTCATTGCTAGCAGATGATTTGATCTTATATTTGGACAAAGCTAAAAACTCCACCAAACAACTATTAGAATTGATAAACAAATTCAATAAAGTCATAGGTTACAAAATCGACATACAAAAATCAGTAGTATTTTTATGCGCCAACAATGAACAATCTGAAAAAGAAATAAAAAACTAATCCCATTTACAATATCCACGAATAAAGTTAAATACATAGGAATTAATTTAAGCAAAGAAGTGAAAGATGTCTATAATGAAAAGTATAAAACACTGGTGGAAGAAATGGAAGAGGACACCAAAATATGAAAAGACATTCCATGTTCATGAATTGAAAGAGTCAATATTGTTACAATCACCATACTACCCAAAGCAACCTACACATTCAATACAATCCCTATCAAACTAGCAATGGCATTCTTTACAGAAATAGAAAAAAACTCTAAAATTTATATAGAGCCAGAAGAGACCAGGAATAGCAAAAACTAGCCTACAGAAATTAACAAAACTTGAGGAATCACATTACCTGACTTCAAATTACACTGCAGAGCTATAGTAACAAAAACAGCATGGTATTGGCATAAAAACAGATACATAGACCAAAGGAGCAGAATAGAGAATCCATAAGCAGATCCACACACCTACAGTAAACTCATTTTCAACAAATTTACCAAGAACATACACTGGAGAAAAGAGAGTCTCTTCAATACACGGTGCTGGGAAAACTGGATATTTATAGGCAAAATAATGAAACTAGACCTCTATCTGTCACCACAAAAATCAAATCAAAATGGATTAAAGAAGTAAATCTAAAACAAAGTATGAAACTGCTATGAGACAACATTGGGGAAAATCTCTAGGATACTGGTGTGGGCAAAAATTTCTTGAGAAATACCATAGAAGCACAGGCAACCAAAGCAAAAACGGACAACTGGGGTCACATTAAGTTAAAAAGCTTCTGCACAGCAAAGGATACAGTCATCAAAGTGAAGAGATACCCCATAGAATGAAAGAAAATATTTTCAAACTATCCATCTGACAAGGGATTAATAAACAGAATATATAAGGAGCTCAAAGAACTTTCTTTGAAAAAATGTAATAATTTGATCAAAACATGGGCAAAAGATTTGAATAGACTTTTTCAAAAGAATAAATACTAATAACAATGAGGTATATAAAAAAGTGCTCAACATCATGGATCACCTGAGGAATGCAAATCAAACCTACAATGAGGTATCATCTCACCCCAGTTAAAATACCTTAGATTTAAAAGACACGAAATAACAAATGCTGGCCAGGATATGGAGAAAAGGGAACCCACATACACTGTTGCTGGGAATGTAAATTACTACAACTACTATGAGGAACAATTCGGAGGTTCCTCAAAAAACTAAAAATTGAGTTACCATATGATGCAGCAATCCCATTGCTGCATATATAACCCCCCAAAAGGAAATCAGTATATTAAAGAGATATCTGCACTCCAATGTTTGCTGCACA
Source organism: Homo sapiens (assembly GCF_000001405.40). Taxonomy (NCBI): domain Eukaryota; kingdom Metazoa; phylum Chordata; class Mammalia; order Primates; family Hominidae; genus Homo; species Homo sapiens. The sequence continues at coordinate 83,241,568 of NC_000023.11, forward strand.
CTGTTTACAACAGCTAAGATTTGGAAGCAACCTAAATGTCCATCAACAGATGAATGAGTAAAGAAAATGTGGCACATATACACAATGGAGTAGTATTCAGCCATAAAAAGAATAAGATCCAGTCATTTGCATCAACATGGATGGAACTGCAGCTCTTTATGTTAAGTGAAATAAGTCAGACACAGAAAGACAAACATCACATGTTCTCACTCATTTGTGGTATCTAAAAATCAAAATAATTCAACTCATGGACACAGAGGGTAGAAGGAGGATTACCAGAGGCTGGGAAGGGTAGTAGGGGTCGAGGGGGGAGGTGATGATAATTAATGGGTACAAAAGTTATACTTAGAAAGAATGAATAAGACCTACTATTTGATAGCAAAATAGGGTGATCTTAGTCAATAATAACTTAATTGTATATTTAAAAATAACTAAAAGATTGTAATTGGATTGTTAACACAAAGGATAAATCCTTGATGGGATGGTACTTCATTTTCCATGATGGGATTATTTCACATTGCATGTCTATATAAAAACATCTCATGTACCTCATAAATGCAAATGCCTACTGTGTATCCACAAACATTAAAAAAATCCAAAAAATTATAATGAAGTTGAAAACTTTCTATTGCTCAGTGACATTATAGCCATTGTGAGACCATAGCACAAACAGTTACATATTTGTAGTAATGCCGGTGTAAACAAACCTATTATGCTGCCAGTCATAAAAATATAGTACATACAATTATGTACAATATGTAACACTGGATTAATGACAATACATGACTATCCTAACCAATGTATTTGCTGTATTATACTTTTAATAATTATTTTAGAGTGTACTCCTTTTGCTTATAAGAAAAAGTTAACTATAAAATAGCCAGAGGAAGATCTGTCAAGAGGGGATCTGTCAAGAGATATTTCAGAAGAAGTCATTTTATCATAGGAGATGATAGCTCCATGTGTGTTACTGCCTATGAAGAACTTGGAGTTGGACAACATGTGGAAATAAAAGACTGATATTGATAATCCTGACCCTGTGTAAGCCTAGGCTAATGTGTGTGTTTGTGTCTTCATTTATAACAAGTATGTTTAAATAAAGAATTTTAACAATAAATAAAAGCTTATAGAATAAGGATATAAAGAAAGAAAATATTTTTGCACAGCTATACAATGTGTTTCTGTTTTAAGCTAGCTGTTATTACTAAAGAGTCAAAAAGATTTTAAAAAGTAAAAATGTCACAGAAAACTGTTAAACTTTATTAAAAATATTTTTAAATTTTAATATAATTTATCATTTTTATATATGTAGCATAGTCTAAGTGTACAGTGTTTATAAAGTCTACAGTAGTGGACTGTAATGACTTAGGCCTTCGTATTCACTCACTGACTAACTCATTCAGAACAACCTCCAGTCCAACAAGCTCCATTCATTGTAGGTGCTCTGTACATGTATCCCACTTTTTTTTATACCGTAGTTTTACAATAGCTTTTCTATTTTTAAATATGTTTAGACATGCAAATACTACCAATGAGTTACAATTACCTATTCAGTAAAGCCATGTGATGTACAGGTTTGTGCCCTAGGAGCAATGGGCTATACCTTATAGCCTAGGTGTATCATAGGCTATACTATTTAGGTTTGTGTAAGTACACTCTCTGACATTTATTTGCACAATGATGAAATTGCCTAATGACACATTTCTCAGAATGTATCCCCATGGTTGAGAAACTTATGACTATATATAATTATAGATGCTTTTTGACTTATGATGGAGTTCCATCCCAATAAAACCATCAAACATCCAAAACATTTTAAGTTGAAGTGTCTTTTCAATTCATGAAATTTTCAACCTATGATGGGTTTATCTGGAAAAGACCCCACTGTAATTCAAGGAGCATACTGAATGTTATCACATTTGCATGATTGTGAAGTCAAAAAAATCAAAGTCAGACCATTTTAACTCAGGTTCTGTCTGTATATATTTCACAAGACTAAGTAATTTTCCTGTATCAAATAAAAATAAATCATTAGTTACATAAGTTTTATATGTCTGTCTCCTTTGCCAAACTGCAAGCTCTTTGAAGGCAGGAACTCTGTTTTCTTCTTGAATAAATTCAGACCAACTTGATTTCACAATTTCCTGCACATTATTTTATCTGTGAGTTTTCCCTTTCATAGCCTACTACTGAAATGACTCACCATTAAGTTTTAACTCTCATCTGTTAGAACTCTCTTAAGTCCTCTTAACTCAGCAAGAACAGGAAACTACCCTGATAGCACCTTGATAATAGATCCTTTCAACTCACAAGAAAAATAATTTCAACTTTTAATTTGTAGTTATGATATTGTTTCATAAAATTGTAGTTCTTACAAAAATCTTTGCTTGACATCTACATCTTCCACAAAATTTCAGCAGAAGAGTTTCTCACAAATTTATTTTTGAAAAGCCTGTTTCTCTTAAATCAAATAACACATATAAAATAATATTTCTGAGGATCAATTGCAGCTAGTTTTAAGACAATTTCTGAAAAATTAAGATTTTTACATGCCTCAGACATTGGATGATCAAACGACCTAATGTAGTGCTACTCAAACTACTTATGATGAAGTTTCTTTTTAAAAAAATATATAATCTGTTACAAAAGTGTACTTTTGTAAAATACAATAAAAGTGAATTAATAGAAAGGTAAAATTTAAAAAGCAAACATATACAAAATGCAGCCCCACTGATCACCTTTGGTGATCACATTGGTGATCACATTGCAGCAATGTCTCAAGTTGCTATAAACATTTTTAAATGACTTGTTCTTTATTTCCATTTTTGTCTTGCCATGTACCAGTTGACAGACCATCACAGTCTCCAGACATCCACTGAGTAGCCCCGACAGAATTCATTTAATCAGTGCTTCTCAAACTTTATTTTTTCATTTAAGCTTTTGAAACCGGGTCTCCGTCTGTTGCCCAGGCTGGAGTGCCATGGCATGATCATGGCTCACTTCAGTCTCAACCTCCTGGGCTCAATCAATCTTCCCACCTCAGCCTCCTGAGTAGCAGGAACTAGAGGCACATGCCACCATGCCCAGCTAACTTTTGTTGTTGTTGTTGTAGAGACCGGGTTTCGCCATGTTGCCCAGGCTGGTCTCAAACCTTCAGACTCATGTCCTCTGCTTGACTTAGCCTCTCCAAGTGCTGAGATTACAGGCATGAGCCACCATGCCCAGCCCTATGCGTCTCAAACTTTAATGTGCACATGAACCACCTAGGGATCTTGTTAAAAATGTGTTAAAATGGGTCTGTGATTGGGTCAAAGATTGAGTATTTTTAGCAAGATACCAGATGAAGCCTACAATGCTGCTTGTCTGTAGATCACAATTTCAGCAACATGTCATTATTTCCCCATGTGGGGAAATATTGTGTATATTCATTTCCATATCTCCAATGGAAGATATTCCATATCTCCAATGGAAGATATTATGTGCCTAGGCACATAATAGGTGCATAAGAAATGTTTGATGGGTATTGAAATTTCCCTGCATGGATACATGGACTTTTTTGATTTGAAAACATATTCCATAACATTTTTATTATAGGTGCAGGCAGTGATGAAGAATGTTTTTAAAATATCCACCTTGTCATCAATGTATAGTTTTATAAAATATTTTACAAATAAAATACTATAAAAGTTACACTAAAAATAAAAAACATACAAAATGTAAGTCCATGTTTGGATGTTGCAGCAATGTCAAATTTCTTGTGTTGTGATTCTATCAATTACTCGACATTTACAAAACTATGTTTCAAGGACAGGATTGCTTTAATTTGCATAATCCATTGCAACACTGATTTTATAACAGTGAAGAGGGATAGTGTTTCTTCAATAGGTAAAGATTTGGGTTTTTTTAATACCCCATTAATGAAACTAACACTTACATAGATGTTGTAATTTTGTGTTTTTTTCTCCTTTCACTGAGATGACCACATTAACTGGATTGACTCATGAAGCTGATTATACACGCAGAATAGCATGAGTATAATAGGGTCTGGACAGCTAAGAGGCAGAGCTCCATGAAAGCTGTTCCGAACATTGTGTTAATAATTTCCATAAGACATTGTCTTCTAGGTGTGACATTTCACCAAGCTCGTGACTCATGTCATTGTCACCAAGCTTTTCTGTTTTATATCTACTTTCTCTTGGCAAATTGTGACATAGTAGTTTTATCAAAAGAAACTTTCAGAAAGCTTATAAAAGAGTTTGTGAGTCTTCCTCAGCTTCAAATAATTCTGTCAAAATCTGATTTTGAAGTGTGCCACATAAATGAACCTGTTCTTTGAATTATAACAAATGGCTTTCAAAATGAGGTGGGAGAAGGGTTTAACAAAACACATTGTATTCAACTAGTCAAACCCATGAATGGTTTAAGTGACAGTGCCTGATACATGCATAGTTGCCGGAGGTGTTCTGTAGAAGCCCCCATGTCCCTGATGCCATTAGACTCCTCCACTATTTTTCTCTCCTCTGGAGTCTTTGAATCTTTGCTTACCAAGATACACTGCTGAAACTAAAAACAGCCCTAAGGGATCATTACCGTCAACAAAAAACACCTTTAGATATCCTTAGAGGACAATAAGGGTTTGTCTATTGGTGTCGGGGTCAATCAATAGCACTTTTGGAACTAATGACACTTACATTATCATTTTACATCTTGCGTCTGTAAATTTACTCATGACCCCAGTTATTTTCTTTATTACTTGATTTTTGGTAAATGTGGATTACTGTAAGGAATTTTTGTGTGGCAGTAAGGTAGTCATATAAATTATCCTAATGTATATGTCTTTTTCAGATTATTTCAATTTCAACTATCTACCACTCACAGTAGATGTAAGCTCCATGAGAGCAGGCTTCTTGCTTGCTTTCTTTACTACCACAACCCAGCACATAGAACTGTGTCTAGATCATGGAGGATGCTTGGCAAATATGTGTGGCATGAATGTTCAATTATCATTTCAAACATTAGACTCAAAATTACAGAAATGTTTCTTTGATACCTATACCTTGATAGGCAGATAGATAAACATAAACTTAAGAAGCCTTGTTTTTAATATCGCTGAACTTAATCAGAATTTCAAAACAACTAAATTTAGAGAACCTAGTCAGTGCATGCATTTAAAGAAACGCCCACTTATATGAAAGATGTTACCTTTGTTACTGATCTCTAATATTTCACTCACAGTTTAATCTAACTCAGGTTTTAGCCTTACATCATATTACAATATTTCTTTCTATAATTATTTTGTGTGTCTTTCTTTTTTACCTTTATTGAAATATATGCCAAAATTGTACACATTTTGTGTATACATCTTGATGAGTTTGGACATATACACACACCCATGATACCATCACTACAACCAAGGTGCTGAAGACATCTGTCACCTCTAAAATTGTCCTTGTCTTGTTTTTTTAAGAACCCTAAACATATGAGTGAGAACATGCGGTGTTTGGTTTTCTGTCCTTGCAATAATTTGCTCAGAATGATGGTTTGCCCATAGTTGGGAATTGAACAATGAGAACACTTGGACACAGGATGGCGAACATCACACACCGGGGCCTGTCGTGAGTGGGGGGAGGGGGGAGGGATAGCATTAGGAGATATACCTACTGCAAATGATGAGTTAATGGGTGCAGCACACCAAAATGGCACATGTATACATATGTAACAAACCTGCATGTTGTGCACATGTTCCCTAGAACTTAAAGTATAACAATAATAAACAAACAAACAACAAAAAAAGAACACTAAACATGAGATCTACTAAACATATTTTAAAGTGTACAATGTCTTGTTGTTTATGTAACATAGTGCAACAACTGTGGAAAACAGCATGGAGGATTCTCAAAACATTAAAAATAGAACAACCATATGATCCAGCAATCCCAGTTCTGGTATATATCCAAAATAATTAAAAAAAAGGATATCAAGGAGACATCTGAAACTTTATGTTTATTGCAGCATTATTTCCAATAATCAAGATATATAAACAACCCAAATGTCCACCTACAGATGACTACACAAATAAAATGTGCTATGCACATACATACAATGTAATATTAGTCAACCTTAAAAAGAAGGAAATCCTGCCATTTGCAATACCATTAATCAAACTAGATGACATTATACTAAGTGAAATCAGCCAGTCACGGATGGACAAATACTGCATGATTCCACTTATATGAAGTATCTCAAATAGTCAAACTCATAGAAGCAGAGAGTATAACGGTGTTTACCAGAGGCTGGAAAAAGGGCGAAATGGGGAATTGTTCTCTGATAGGTAGAAAGTTTCTATTATAAAAGATTAGTATGATTTTGCTAACTAATTCTGAGGCTTCTTTTAGAGTCAAATATTTCTCATCTGTGGTTAAACACAGCTCTAAAACTTAGCTCAGATCTATTTGAGAAGAAGAGCACCCCCAATTCCAACCGTGGATTATTTGCACAGAATAAATTATTTTTAGAACTCTTTGTTTTATAGCATCAACCGAAGTAGACCCTTACATTAGAAGGGAGAAACTGAAGACACACAAAAGTAATAGTATGTGTTTCCTCCATCTCCTCCCCTACCCCTAATCAGAAAGTCACTTTATATTCTTCTGTTAAACAGAAACACTATCTTCTCTTTCTTCAAGGGACTTTCTGTTTGTAGGTAACCAACAGGTGTTAGCAATATCCTGGCAGCCTACAACTTCCATGGTTTGCCGTTGAAGTATGCTGCTTCCTAGAAGAGTATGTATGTATTACTATAGAACAATCCACTTTGAACAGAAATTTAAAGTGGTATTAATGACTCCTACTGCCTTCCCTTCTTCCTCACTCTGTTCCAGCAGCAATAACCTCCTTGCTGTTTCCTAGAACACCACAATAACATGTATGTTTTTCATACCTTAGTTTTCTTCATAGCATTTATCATCATCTGTTGTCCTATAGGTTTATTTCTTTGTTTATTGCCTATTTTCAATTTAACACACATATATATTGCTCATTATGTGCTGCATTTTACAAATATTAACTGTTTAATTTTCATGATTATTGTGGGAAGTAGGCACTATCAATACACTTATTTTGCAGATAATGAAAATGGCCATAAGTAGATTAGGTAACTTGAACAAGGCCATGCAAATATTAAGTGGTGGAGTTGGGATTAAAACACACACAATTAGACTCCAGTGTCCATGTTATTTAAAAAAGCATAAAATATAATATTTATGAAGTCAGAGATTTTTAATTATTTTGTTCACTGGTGTATCCTTGGTGCCAAGAATGTCTAAATTATAGTAGGTTCTCAATATATATTTGTTGAATAGATTAGTTTATTACTTTGGGGTTGAATAAACAAGCAAAAATGTCCTTATACCTCCCTGGAGTTTCTCCTGGTAGCTTAGAAACACAGTATCAATCAGCTACATCATGGAATGGATTTAGTCCTGACAGAAAGAGGTCCACTTTCAAGAGATGACACTTTGAAAATATTAGGTGAGTTATACAACACCATGATGTTGTGCAGTTGTTGTAAAAGTATGGTATGAGGTTCTTAAGGAGACCCTTAAGGCTGTGAAAGAGGGCAGGTAGAAAATGATGAGAAGTTAGGTCTCTGAGACCACAAATCCTTTTCCAGGAAAACATCTCTGCTTGTGCACAGAAACTCAATCCAATAATAATCACTTACAACTTATACTTGTTAAACTAAAACTAAACATATTCATATTGTATTTTAGCTTAGATGTGGAAATAATTTTGCTGCTCTGTTTTTCTGCTACTTTATTTTTTTTGGTATACAGATTAACTTTTAATTGTTACAAATGTATGACATTAGTACAAATCTTTTGATTAAGTTAATAGGCTTGAAAGAAATTAAGAAAACCAAAACATATACAAAATATGTTCTTAATATTTTTTATTAAACTCAACTTTTTAATCTCTTAGTACAAATTTAAATAAACTCTATCGCTATTATACTTATGAATGGGTATATTTAAATATTAATTCCTGTGAAAGACATTATTTTTATTTTTATTTTTCCAACTCATAATTAACAAATAATGATTGTATTTATTTACAGGATACAATGTGATGTTTTGATATATATTTACAATGTGAAATGATTAAATCAGGTTAATTTAAATCCATCACCTCATATACTTATCATTTTTTGTGGTGAAAACATTTAAAATCTATTACTTTAGCAATTTTGAAATATACGATGCATTATTAATTAGGGACACCATTCTGTGCAATAGGTCACTGAAAATTATTTATACATAATAATGTATAAATAATATAATTATTTTTATGTAACCTTTGATGAACATCTCCCTTTTCCCCATTCACTCCCCTCCCCCAATCTCTGGTCACCATCATTTCACACTCTACTTCTATGAGTTCAGCTATTTTAGATTCCACATATAAGTGAGATCATGCAGTATTTGTGATTCTGGGCCCAGCTTATTTGTTTTAGTACAATGTTCCTTAGGTTTATCTACATTGTGGCAAATGACAGGATTTCCCCCTTCTTTAAGGATGAGTAGTATTCCACTGAGTATGTATCCCACAACGAGATATAACCTCAAACTTTTTAGAAGGGCTACTATCAAAAAGACAAAAGGTAACAAACGTTTGCAAGGGTATAGGGAAAAGAGAACCCTTGGCATTGTTGATGGGAATGTAAATTAACATAGCCATTAAGAAAAAGTATAAAGTCTCATCAGAAAACTAAATATAAAATTACCATATGATTCAGCAAACCCACTTTTGGGTATATATCCAACTAATTTGAAATCGGTAAGTTAAACAGCTATCTGCACACCCTTGTTTACTGCCAGATTGTTCCCAGTAGCTACAATATGGGAGCAAACTAGGTGTCCATAATCAAATGAATGGAAAAAGACAGATTCTTGAGTATGGCTTTTATTATTACTTTTATTATCAAATTGCAACCTAACAGAATGCTTTTTAAATATTTGTGTGGACACCACCAAAAAACCAAGTGCAATAGAATTTTAATTTCTAAGTTGTGTTTGGCCAGCAGTTTTGTTTTTTTCTAATAAATAGAGATTCTATACTAATTTATACTTTATAGTGATGGGTTCACTGGAGAGTTACGTTAAATACACACATACCATTGCAAGTGAAAAAGCGAATTTGGAGAAATAATCTGGAAAATTCAGTCCATAAGTAATGATTTTGACTTAATAATCACCTCCAACAAGGAATTATCTTTATCCTATAGATGCTTTTTACCCAATTGATAAAATAAATATACCATATCTACAGAATGCTCAAAAAACCACAAAGAGTTTTGCATCTTCAGAGTATTAACAAATATTTTCAACTAAAGTATCAAGAAATAGTGTCACTTCTTCATGTCCAAGATGGTAGATTGGTGTCATTATTAGTATGCATCACCCAGTTGGAAAGACAAAATAGTGTATAGAGATTCACATTGTGAACTTTCTTCCAAGAAATAATGCAGGAAGTTAACAGGGAAACTAAAAGAAACCACGGATTCTTTGAAAGAAGTGTTGGGTTGGAGCCTACATCATGAGCCAGGTGGAAAACTGTAAGTCTCCAGAATGTGAGAGGAGGACAAACTGCCTCCAGAGTATACACTACCAACAGGGAACCTAGCAATTCAGGCCATGAGGGAAGTCTTTACTCTGATCCAGCATTGGAGCTAATTTAGTGAGCAGTGGGGAGTATATGAAAAAAAAAAATGTGACATTGGGACACGCTTTGTGTGCATTTCCAGTATCCAGAAGGAATTGAGGGAAGCCATTCACTATTCTACCAAACAGGGGTCCTTGTGAAAATTTTACAGCTAACCCAGGAAGTGGTCACAGGCAGAGAGAACCTCCCAAATGAAATTTGTGTTATAATTATGAGTAAGGACAAAACACTTTGGGCAGAACTGAGGGACAAGTGGGAAGTGTGCTGCAGCCACAGATGCAGGAACTGGGTGCCCTTGCTTTGTAGGCAGATCACAAGGGGCATGGCCTGTAAGCCATGGGTGTTGTGTCCTTGGGGAAGGTGTATGGCCTGGGGCAATTTTAAGTTCTGAGTGCAGACTGCTTAGAAACTACTTAGCTGCTGTTAGTGGAACACTGTGGGTGCAAGACCTTCCTTGCCAAGTGTATGGGAGCTGGTTAGGGTTTACTATTACCTGCTACCCCCAGCTCCCTTTACAGGCTTTTCTGTACAGCAGAAGCAGCTGCACTCCTTTCTGGAACATTACCCCTGGGGCCAGAGAACCACTTTCTGATCCCCATGGGGGCTGCTGCTTTTGAGCACACAAGGAGAGCCAGAGTATGGACTCGCCGGACCCAACCTCTAGGTAAGTTTGCCCCTCCAACCACCCTGGTAGTTTAACAGAAAGGACAGATCTTTTGGGAGCTCAATGGCCTCAGCAATTGCCTGAGTCACCAGAGTACCACCCCTGGGTAACATAAGGCAAGACAAATCGCACTGCTACCACTGCAACTGGTGGCCTTTTGCAGGCACCACCACCTGGGTAGAAGCCAACTGTCACAGTCTATTATGGCATCTGCAGGCACAATAACACCATGCAGGAAGAAAAAGAAAAAAGCTTGTGCATGACCTCAGCTATCACCATTGCCTGCATCACCCTGACTAGCCAGGGCTTCCTGAGTCTCTCCACATGACCCGTTTATTACTACTATAACTGGCATTTGAGAAAGCCAATACACTAAAGCTATTTATAACAAAGTAATCTCACACAGTCTATATCATTCCCCTCCCACTCCCATCAGAGCAGGTGTTGGAACCAGCTGTTGGGAGTCTTGAGAAAAGGTCTCATCACTGGACCCCTTGTGGGCATTCCCCACCACCAGCCTAGAATTTGGCTGCCACAGTGGGTGGCTAGACTCAGAGGAGAAGCATCACTCATTAGTCTGGCCCTCAGGGACTCCTACTCCTAGGGGAAGGGGTACTATACCACATCAAGGGAGCACCCCATGGTACAAAAGAATGCAGACAGCAGGCCTTGAGACCCAGAACTTTCCACTTGTGGGAAGTATCTTTCAGTAGAGTGACAGTTGTAGTGCTAAGCTCAAGGAGATTTCTCCCTCTCATCCACCACTGCAGACAGAGGTGGCAATTCTCCATGTGAGCTCAGTGTGGGTACACATGTAGGTAGTCTTTTTAGAACACTTTAGAGTGATTGCATTCCCACAGGAGGAGTGCCTTCCAGGTTTTCACTTTCATGAAAGGTAGAGTCATAATCCCTCTATACATGGAGCATCAGCACTACTGCAAATGAAAAGTGGTCCCTGTCTGATATGAATAGCCAGAACACTGGGTCAGGAGTATGACTGGGAGATGGATTGCTTTCCTATTGGCTTGCCAGAGAAGCTGAGGTGGCTCCCTTCCTTACCTCTGAAAAGACCAATGTGTTTCACTGAGAGCTCCCCCAGCTGCCTCTGTCAAGGTTAGGACCTCTGCTCATCATTGGTTATTGCATTTACCAACTTGCTTTAACCACAGACAGTTTTTACCCACGGACACTTCCCTTACTGGCCTGAAGCCTGAACTGTTCAGCCCAATAAATAAGACACTGGGGAAAAAATAAATAAATAAAAACATACACACCACTGGGGAACAAGATAAGCTTTAAGAGACTTCTGCCATTACAACCCCACAGGAGACAGTTAAACTAAACACACTCTGAGCACATTTCAACTGCAACAAACACCTTTGAAAGCCACCATGCAAATATTCTGTATAGTCAAGGAACTCATACAGAGCCTTCATCTCTGAAAGCACACAGATCTGACTTATATTACAATCAGCTATAAACATTAAAGTCACAGTGCCAAGGGGGAAAATTTTGAAAAATCACAATCATATCAAAAATAAATTCAAAAATAATTAGAAGAAATAGTTTATCCTAATGAGAAGGAACCAGAAAAATAATTTTGGCCATATGACAAAATAGGGTTCTACAACACCCCCAAAAGATCACAATAGCTCTCTAGCAATCGATTCAACCAAAGACGAAATTTTTGAAATACCAGACAAAATGTATCTCTATCAAAAAGAACATAGAAGAGAAGGGTGAAAATCAACATAAAAAAATTAAGAAAACAATTCAGGGTATGAATGAAAACTTTTCTAAAGAGACAGATATTTTAAAGAAAAAATATCAGAAATTCTGAAAATAAAAGGCATATTTAGGGAATTAAAAAATGCAATGGAAAGTTACACCAATAGACTAGAAAAAGTGAATGATAAAATTTCAGAGCTCAAAGACAAGACTTTTTAACTAACCCAACCAAACAAAAACAAACAAAAAAAGAATTAAATGGACAAAGTCTCTACAACATATAGGATTATGTAAAATGGTTAAGTATAAAAATCATTGGTGTTCCCAAGGGAGAAAAAAAAAAAGTTTGGAAAACTTATCTGTGAGAAAAACTTCCCTGGCCTTGTTAGAGATTTAGACATCAAAATATCAGAAGCTCAAAGAAATCCTGGGAGATTTATTGCAAAACGGACATCACCAAGGGAAATACTCATCAGACTATCTAAAGTCAACATGAAGGAAATAATTCTAAGAACACTGAGGCAAAAATATTAGGTAATCAATGAAGAAAAAATCTATCAGACTAATAGCAGACTTATCGGCAGGAACTTTATGAGCCAGAGGAATTGGGGATTCTATGTTTAGCCTTCTTAAACAGAATAACTGCCAACCAATCATTCTGTACGTAGCAAAACTAAGTTTCATAAATGAAGGAGAAACAAAGTCTTTTCCAGATAAGCAAATACTGAGGGAATTTGTCACTAGCCCTACAAAAAATGCTAAGAAGAGTACAAAGGCTTGAAAAAAGGTCAATATGCACCAGAATAGAACCTCTTTAAATCATAAAACTCACAGGGCTTATAAGACAATACGACATGAGGAAAACAAAATATTTAGGTAACAATAAACAACATGACTGGGACAGTACCTTACATTTCAATATTAACATGGAATGTAAATGGACTAAATGCTCCACTTAAAAGATACAGATTGTCTTAGTAAACAAAAAATGTCACAAACCGACTATCTGCTGTCTTCAATAGACTCATCTAACATGTTAGGATTCATACAGATTCAAGCTAAAAGGTGGAAAATATATTCCATGCAAATAAAAACCAAAAGCAAGCAGGAGCTGCTATTCTTATAACAGAAAAAAACAGATTTTAAAGCCACAACAGTACAAAAAGACAAAAAGCTCATTATATAATGATAAAAGGATCGATTCAACAAGATATTATCACCCTAAATATATATGCGCCTAACTCTGGAGCTACCAGATTCATAAAACAATTACTACTAGACCTAAGGAAAGTGATAGACAGCAACATAATAATAGTGGAGAACTTAAATACTCTACTGACAGCACTAGACAGATCATTGAGGCAGAAAGTCAATGAAGAAACATTGAACTTAAACTATTCTCTAGAACACATATCAGAACACATAATATCAGATATTTACAAAGGATTCTACCCAAGAACTGCAGATATACACTCTCCTCATTAGTACACTAAACATTCTCAAATAAAGAATGAAAACCGTTTTATAATAGCTGCAAAAAATTATCCTGGGATTATAATTAACCAAGGAAGTGAAAGATCTCTACAAGGAGAACAGCAAAACACTTCTGAAAATAATCAGAAGACATAAACAAATAAAAATACATTACATGCTCTCAGATTGGAAGATTTAATATGGAATATCATGAAAATGACCGTACTGCCCAAAGAAATCTATAGATTCAGTGCAATTCCAATCAAAAGATTTACATCATTTCTTACAGAATTAGAAAAAATAATCCTGAAATCCATAGGAAACCGAAAAAGAGCCTGAATAGTTAAAGCAATCCTAAGTATAAGGAAAAAATCTGAAGATATTATATTACTTTGGCAAAGCATAAAAAATCCCATAAATTGTGAAACGGAAACCCTATTCAATAAATGGTGCTAGGAAAACTGGATAGCCCCATGTAGAAGAATGAAATTGGATCTCTATCTCTCATCATTTACAAAAATGTAGTCAAGATGGATCAAAGACGTAAATCCAAGTTGTGAAATCATAAAAATTACACAAGAAAGCCTAGAGAAAAAACACTTCTGCTCAATGTCCTAGGCAATGTTATGACCAAGACCCCAAAAGTGAATGCAACATAACCAAAAATAAATAAATAAAACCTAATTAAACTAAAAAGCTTCTACACTGCAAAAGAAATAATCATCAAAGAAAACAGACAACACAAAGAATAGGAGAAAATATCTGCAAACTATGCATCTGACAAAGGACTAATATTCAGAATTTATAAGGAGCTCTAAGAAATCTGCAAGAAATAAAACCAAATATTCCCACTTAAAAACTGAGCAAGTTACATGAATAGACATTTTTCAAAAGAAAATAAATGGCCAAGAAACATATGAAACAATGCTCAACATCACTAATCATCAGGTGAATGCAAATTAAAATCATAATGAGATGCCATTTTACCCCAGCCAGAATGGCCATTATTAACAAGTCAAAAAAATAGATGTTGGTGTGGATGTGGTCAAAAGGAGACCCTTACACACTGCTGGTGCAAATGTAAATTAAGGTAGCCTCTATGGAAAACAGTATGGATATTTACTTTAAAAACTAACAATATATCTAACATTTTTTCCAGCAATCCCACTACTGGGTATCTACCCAAGGGAAAATAAGTCATTACATTAAAAACCCACTGGCACACATACGTTTATTGCAGCACAACTCACAATTGCAAAGATATTGAACCAACTTAAGTGCCCATCAACTGTTGTATAGGTAAAGAAAATGTGGTGTGTATACACCAGGGAATACTACTCAACTATAAGAAGAATAAAATAATGTCTTTTGAAGGAACTTGTATGGAGCTTGAGGCTATTATACTAAGTAAAGTAACTCAGGAATGGAAAACCAAATACTGTATGTTCTCATTTATAAGTGGGAGCTAAGCTATGGGTACACAAAGGCATATGGAGTGATATAATATATGCTGGGAATCAGAAGGGGATGTGAAGAAAGTGAGGGATAAAAAAACTACATGTTGGGTACAATGTGCACTACTGGGATGATGAGTGCACTAAAATCTCAGACTTCACCACAATGTAATTTACCATGCAACCAAAAACCACTTGTGCCCCCAAAACTACTGAAAGTAAAAAATATATAGGATGGATAGAGAAATACGGCAGAAGAGAAACCTATGCTATTTTCCCCCCACTGGAATAACAAATGTTAACAACTATATGCACAAGGAAATGTACCTTCACAAGAACCAAAAATAAGGAAAGCAATCACAGTACCTGATTAATTTCATATTGCTGAAAGAGGAATTGATAAGAGCAGAAGAGACAGGCTGGAATCACCTACATCACTCCTTCCCTATTAACTAGCATGGCCATGCAGTGAAGAGAGTGAATGTGTGCACTTTGGGTAGGAAGAGTGCATCAAGTTTGGGGGACTTTACATTGAACTCAGTGCTGCTCTTATTCTTATTCTCAGTAGAGAATAAGGTCATACTGGGTTCAACCAGTGCCCACACATGAAAGCAACATTTTTACCAGCCCTAGCCACAGGGGAGTTACCCAGCACAGCAATCAGGACTTGACTTTATCTGCAAACCTTGCCACAATGGGCTGAAGTGCTCTGGGGTCCTAGGTAAACTTGAAAGGCAGTCCGGGACACAAGAACTGCAATTCTTTTTTTTTTTTTTTTTTGGCAGTTTTTTGCCTGAGAGCATTTCATTTATTTTTTTATTTTTTAATTTTATTATTATTACACTTTAAGTTTTAGGGTACATGTGCACAATGTGCAGGTTTGTTACATATGTATACATGTGCCATGTTGGTGTGCTGCACCCATTAACTCGTCATTTAACATTAGGCATATCTCCTAATGCTATCCCTCCCCCCTCCCCCTACCCCACAACAGTCCCTGGAGTGTGATGTTCCCCTTCCTGTGTCCATGTGTTCTCATTGAAGAACTGCAATTCTTAGGCAACACCTAGTGCTATGCTGGGCTTACAGCCTGTGAACTAGGATGGCATGTGACCTAAGGAGACACCACCTGGTGCAGTTAAGTGAGTGCTGTGCCATCCCTCCCCCATCCCCAGGTAGTGCAGCTCACCACAAGAAGTCACTTCCTCCTTCTGCTTAAAGAGGGAAGAGCAAAGAGTAAAGAGGACTTTGTCTTGCATCCTACATACAAGCTCAACCACAGTAGAATAGGGCACGAGGCAGAGTCATGAGGACCTTATTTTAGGCCCTAGCTTCCAGATGGCATTTCTAGACACACTCTGAGCCAAAAGGGAACCTTGTGACTTAAAAGGAAGGACACAATCTTGGCAGGATTTATCATCTTCTGACTAAAGAACCCTTGGGCCCCGAATGACCGGTAGTGATACATAGGTTGTACACCATGGGCCTTGGGCTGTGAGACATACTGGCTTTCAGGGTAACCCAGCAAATTCACAGCTGTGGTGGCTACAAGGAAAGACTCCTTCTGTTTGAGAAGAACAGAGAAGACTAAAAGGAACTTTGTCTTGCACCTTAGGTACCAGCTCGGTCACAATAAGGTAGAGCAACAAGCAGGCTCTTGGGGTCCTTGACTCCAGGCCTGGACTCTTGCACAGCATTTCTAGACCTGCCCTTGGTCAGAGGGGAGCACAGTTTCCTGAAGCATGAGTCTCAAGCCTGGCTGAATTTACCTCAACGTGATGGAAGAATATTTGGACTTGAAGCGAACATTGCCAGTGGCCTGGCAGAAGCCCTGGTAGAGCAGTGGTGGTGGCAGAAACAAGCAGAAGTTTCTCTGCCTGTAGAAAGGGGAGGAAAGAGTGGGAAGGAGTTGGTATTGTAGTCTGACTGTCATCTTAACCACAATTCATTGTAGAATAGAATAGAAGGTAAATTCCCAACATTTTAGACTCCAAAATCTGGCTCCCAGACAGCATCACTGGACAAGCCTGGGACTCTGGGACTCTGGGGAGCTCGTCACTGTGAAGGGAAGTTGCCTTGGGCAAGACCCAGTGCTGTGCTGGCTTCAGGTGTTACCCAGCACTATCTCAGTGTTGGTGGACAGAGTGATGCTTGAGTCATCATACCTCCAGTTCCAGGTGGCTCAGCACAGACAGAGAGACTCTATTTGTTTGGGAAAAAATAAAGAAAAGAAGAATCTCTGCCTTGTAATCCAGGGAATTCTTTCAGATGTTATCCAAGATATTCTTTGTTTGTTTGTTTGTTTGTTTTTTGAGATGGAGTGTCACTCTGTCACACAGGCTGGAGTGCAGTGGTGCGATCTCGGCTCACTGCAAGCTCCACCTCCCAGGTTCATGCCATTTTCCTGCCTCAGCCTCCCGAGTAGCTGAAACTACTGGTGTGTGCCACCATGCCGGGCTAATTTTTTTGTATTTTTAGTGGAGACGGGGTTTCACCGTGTTAGCCAGAATGGTCTCAATCTCCTGACCTCGTGATCCGCCCGCCTTAGCCTCCCAAAGTGCTGGTATTACAGGCATGAGCCACCGCACCCGGCTCCAAGATATTCTTTATATATTCAGATATACAAAGTGCTGAAGAAAATAACTTTTACCCTAGAATAATTTATTTGGCAAAAATATCCTTCAAGTGTGAAGGAGAAATAGATAGCTTCCCAGACAAACAAATGCTAAGGGATTTCATCAATACGAAACCTTTCCTGCAAGAAATGATAAAGAGAGTTGAGAGGGAAAGATGGCTTACTAGATCAAGCCCAGTGGAATAGCTGCCACCAAGGAACTGAGATGACTGGAGCATTTCTAACAGATCTTCAGAGGGAAGGCACCGAGGGTGGGCAAAGGAAAGACACAGAAGCTGAGCTGAAGGAGGAGGAAGCTTGGAACCCTGCATGTGGTTATCATGTACTGAGACTCTTCTTGTCCCAGTGACTCCAGAGGAATGGGTGAGTTGAACTGACAAGGAGCAACTTACCCTGGCCACAGGCCTCTGGAATCCTGGCAAGAGGACACCCTTTTACCACCATGGAAACTCTGGTTGGCAGGGAGAGCTGTTTAGAGAAGTGGTAGGGACAGCAAGGCAGTTGATGTGGAGCCCAGAGGGTTTGATGCGAGAGTATCTGTAGCAGAGCATGGACTGGAGTGGCCATTCTCCTAGGGTCAACTTGCTCTTATAAGAGACTTAAGCCCTAGGGGAACAGTCAGACCTAAATTTTGCAAAGTGATCTTTCTCATCAGACGTGGCCAATTCAACCTGAGCACCTCTTGGTCTTCAGGCCTCTCCCAGGGCCCCAACATGGCTGTGCCTGCTTGCAGGGCAGCCTCAGGGCCCCTCAAGACCCACATTATATTTCCTGCACTGGTGGACTGTACCTGACTAGCAGGGAGCTCAAGCAAGGCAGCCCCATGGGCATGCACCAGCTCATTTTCTCCCTGCCCACATTGCAGCTTCCCCTGGGACCATGGTAACCCCACTCATCACTTTGCCAGCATATGTGTGTGTGACATGGTTTTGCATTTTTTGTCCCTTCAGTGCAGGTATGTGTATGCACCTTGCCTTGCCCCTGCTGCAGCGAGTGTGCAGTCCACTCTCCTTCCCCTCACCAATGACCACTGCAGTCAGTTTTTCCATGCACAGGGTCAGTCAGCCCCACCCTTTTGCCAACACTGCCAGGGGAGTAAAACTAGGTAGTCACTCAGACTATCCTGAGTGCCCTTCCCAACCTGCAGTGCACAGAGTGTACATGAACCTGCATCTGCCAGAGCTCCTCCTTGTGCCAACACCACCAAGAGGGCGTCTGTGCACACAGTCACCAGCAGGGGATCCCAGACCTGCTGAACCACATTGCCTCTGCCATTGTGATAAACCCTAGCACAAAGGAAGGCACCTCAGCAGCCACTAGCACCCTGCCATTCTGAAAAGCGTGCGCACTGCCCTGCTGCTGCTGGAACATGCAAACAAGGACAGATCCTACTATCACTGCGTTATGAATTGCTTTGCCTTCATCACCCATGAAAGTGTAGTGAACAGCAGTCCAGAAACACTTTGTCTCCCCAGCACAGTGGATTTCCAGACTTGAGGAGGAAGAGAACAAAGGCAAGTTTGCCAGAGTTAGAACAGGCAGTCCAGGGGTTTAGAGCTGAGTGTTTGGCCCCATAAAATCTTCCAGAAATGAAGCCAGTCAGCTGAATTCACCTTATACCACAATAAAACCCTCAAGGTCATCAAATGGGATTAAAAAAGACACCTAAAGTTCAGAAACTTCAAAGATTGAAGGAACACCATCTCACAAAGAAGAGAAAGAATCAGCAAAAAAACCCTGACAACTCAAATAGCCAGCATGCCTTTTTTCCTCCAAATGACCATACCACCTCTCCAGCTAGCTTTCTGAACCAGGCTTAGATGGCTGAAATGACAGAAACAGAATTCAGAATATGGATAGGAACCAAGATCACTAAGATGCGAAAACACATTAAAATCCAATTCAAGGAAGCTAAGAATAATAAACAATGCAGGAGCTGACAGACAAAATAGTTAGTGTAGAAAATAATGTAACTGACCTGATAGAGTGAAAAAACACACCAAAAGCGTTCATAATACAATCACAAGTATTAATAGCAGAATAGACGAAGCAAAGGAAAGAATCTTACAGCTCAAAGACTGGCTTTCTGAAATAAAACAGTGAGATAATAATAGAGAAAAATAAATAAAAGACAATGAACAGAACCTCTGAGAAATATGAGATTATGTAAAAAAAAAAATCTATGACTCATTGGCATCCCTGAAAAAGATGAGGAGAGTGTAAGCAACTTGGAAAACGTAATTCAGAATACCATCCATGAAATCTTTTTTAACCTAGCTAGAGAGGCCAACATTCCAATTCAGGAAATGCAGAGAACCCCTGTGAGATGCTTCACAAGAAGATCATCCCCAAGGAACATAATAATCAGATTCTCCAAGGTCAAAATAATAGAAAAACTGTTATAGGCAGCTAGAGAAAGAGGACAGGCAATCTAAAAAAGGAAACCTATCAGACTAACAGTGGACCATTCAGCAGAAACCCTACAGTCAGAATAAATTAGGAACCAATATTCAAAATTCTTAAGGAGAAGAAATTCAAACGCAGAATTTAATATCTGGCCAAACTAAGCTTCACGAGTGAAGGAGAAATACGATCCTTTTTCAGACAATCAAATGCTTAGAGAATTTGTTACTACCAGGTCTGCCCTAGAAGAGCTCCTAAAGGAAGCACTAAATATGGATAGAAAAGGCCATTACCAGCCACTATAAAAACACACTGCAGTACACAGATCATTGACACTATAAAGCAGCCACATAATATGCAAACAAGTCTGCATATAAACCAGCTAATACCTTAATGACAGTATCAAATTTACACATATTAATACTAACTTTGAATGTAAATGGCCTAAATGCCTTAATTAAAAGGCACCGAGTGGCAAGCTGGATAAAGAACCAAGACCCATTGGTATGCTGTCCTCAGGAGACTCATCTTACATGCAATGACACTCATTGGCTCAAAATAAAGAAATGGAGGAAAATCAACAAAGCAAACTGAAAACAGAAAAAACAGGGGTTGCAATCCCAATTTCAGACAAAACTGACTTTAAAACAAAAAAGATCCAAAAAGTCAAAAATGAGCATTACATAAAGAGTTCAAGAAGACCTAACTC
Source organism: Homo sapiens (assembly GCF_000001405.40). Taxonomy (NCBI): domain Eukaryota; kingdom Metazoa; phylum Chordata; class Mammalia; order Primates; family Hominidae; genus Homo; species Homo sapiens. The sequence continues at coordinate 83,262,354 of NC_000023.11, forward strand.
TTCTAAATATATATGCACCCAACATAGGAGAACCTGGATTTATTTTATTTATTTATTTATTTATTTATTTATTTATTTATTTATTTTTGCAGTTGCAAGATTTAATAGAGTGAAAACAGAGCTCCCATACAAAGGGAGGGGACCCAAAGAAGGTAGCCTTTGCAGGCTTGAATGCCTGAGTTTATATCCTGATCATTGCCCCTCCCACTGTGCTCTCAGGCGATAGATGATTGGCTATTTCTTTACCTCCTGTTTTTGCCTAATTAGCATTTTAGTGAGCTCTCTTTCCTACCTGATTGGTCGGGTGTGAGGTAAGTTGCAAGCCCCATGTTTAAAGGTGGATGTGGTCACCTTCCCAGCTAAGCTTAGGGATTCTTAGTTGGCCTATGAAATCCAGCCAGTCCTGTCTCTCAGTCGGAGCACCTGGATTTATAAAGGAAGTCCTTAAAGACCTAAAAGGAGGCTTAGATTTTCTCACAGTAATAGTGGGATACATAATCACCACACTGAGAGTATTAGATAGATCATCAAGGCAGTAAGCTAACAAAGATATTCAGAACCTGAGTGCAATGCTTGGCCAAATTGACCTAATCTACATCTACATAACTCTCCACTCAAGCACAACAGAATATACATTTTTCTCATTGCCAAACACAACAGAATATACATTCTTCTCATTTACACATACCATAATATTGACTATGCAATCAAAAATAAAACAAGCCTCAGCAAAATCAAAGACATTGAAATGACACCAAACACACACTTGGACCACAGCAAAATGAAAGTAGAAATGGATATAAAGAAAATTGCTCAAAGCCATGCAATTATCTGGAAAATAAAAAATCTGCTTCTGAATGACCTTTGGGTAAACAAGTAAGTGAAGAAGAAAATTAATAAATTGTTTGAAACTAATGAAAACAAAGATACAACATAACAGAATCTCTGAAACACAGCTAAAGTAGTGTTAAGAGGAAAGTTTATAGCACTAAATACCCACATAAAAAATGTATAAACATCTCAAACTAACAACCTAACATTAATCCTATAGTAATTAGAGAAACAAAAGCAAACAAATTCTAAAGCTAGCAGAATAAAATAAATAACCAAAATCAGAGCTGACCTGAATGAAAGTGAGATGAAAAAACCCTAAAAATAATCAATGAATCCAGGAGTTGGTTATTAAAAAGAAAAAATAAGACAGCTAAACAGCCAGCTAGATTAACAAAGAAGAAAACAGGGCAGATACAACTAAATAAAATCAGAAATGACAAAGGGGGCATTACTAATAACCCCACAAAAATTTTTAAAAGTTATTGGAGACTACTACAAGCAGCTCTATGCATACAAGATAGAAAGCCTAGAAGAAACAGACAAATTCCAGGAAACACATAACCTCCCAGATTCAACCAGGAAGAAATTGAATCTCTGAGCAGACCGATAATGAGTTCTGAAATTGAATCAGTAATAAATAGCCCACCAACCAGAAAAAGTCCAGGATGAGTTGGATCCACAGGAAGAAATTGAATGCCTGAGCAGACCAATGATGAGTTCTGTAATTGAATCAGTAATAAATAGCCCACCAACCAGAAAAAAGTCCAGGATGAGTCAGATTCACAGCCAAATTCTAACAGATGTATAAATAAGAACAGGTACCATTTCTACTGAAACTATTCCAAATAATTGAGGAGTATGGACTCCTTCCTAAGCATTATCTAAGGCCAGCATCATGCTAATACCAAAAGCTGGCAGAGATACAACAAAAAATAAAAATTTCAGGCCAATATTTTTGATGAACATGAATGTAAATATCCTCAATAAAATGCTAACAAAATAAATCCAGCAGCACGTGAAAAAGCTTATCCACCATGATCAAGTAGGCTTTTATCCATGAGATGTAACATTGGATAAGCACATGCAAATCAGTAAATGTGATTCATCACATAAATAGAACTAAAGACAAAAACCACATAATTATCTCAATAGGTGCAGAAAAGGCTCTTGATAAAATTCAAAACTTCTTCAAGTTAAGAACTCTTAATACGCTAGGCTCTGAGGTAATATACCTCAAAATAATAACATCCATATATGACAAACCTGCAGCTAACATCATACTGAATTGGCAAACCTGGAAGCATTCTCCATGAAAATATATACACAACAAGGATGCTCTCTGTCATCACTGCTATTCAACATAGTATTGGATGTCCTGCCCAGATCAACCAGGCAAGAGAAAGAAATAAGGGCAACCAAATAAGAAGAGAGAAAGTCAAACATGCCTGATGGCAGATGGTATGATCCTATGTCTAAAGGACCTATGAGATTCTTGACCCCAGGCACTGTAAGCTGATAAACAATGAAAAATCAATGTACAAACATTACTAGGATTTGTATACATTAAGAACAGCCAAGCTGAGAACCAACTCAGCAACACAATCACATTCACAATTTCTACAACATGATTAAAATACCTAGGAATACAGCTAACCCAGGAGAAGACAGATCTATATACAAGGAGAACTACAAAACATGGCTCAAATAAATCAGAGATTACACAAATAAATGGAGAAACAGTTCATGCTCATGGATAGAATCAATATCAGTGTAATAGCCATACTGCCAAGAGCAACTTGTGGATTCAGTGCTATTCCTATTAAACTACCAGTGACATTCTTCAAAGAACTGGAAAATACTATTCAGAAATTCATGTGGAACCAAAAAAGAGCCCAAATAGCCATGGCAATCCTAAGCAAAATGAACAAAGCTGGAGGCATCATGCTACCTGTTTTCAAACTATATTACAGTATTACAATAACCAAAACAGCATGGTACTGGTACAAAACCAAAACAGATAGTCAAATGGAACAGAATAGAGAGCCCAGACGTAAAGCCACACACCTACAACTATCTGACCTTTGACAAAGCTGCCAAAAACAAGCAATGGGGGAAATGAATCCCTATTTCATAAATGGTGCTGGGATAACTGGCTAGCCATAGGTAGAAAATTGAAACTGGACTCCTTCCTTACACCATATACAAAAATAAACTCAAGATGAAGTAAAGATTTAATTGTAAAACCAAAGACTATGAAAATCCTGGACAACAACATAGGCAATACCATTTTAGACATAGGACCTGACAAAGATTTTATGACAAAGATACCAAAAGCAATTGCATCAAAAACAAAAATTGACACGAGATTTAATTAAATTAAAGAGCTTCTGTGCAGAAAAATAAACTGTCAACAGAGCAAAAAGAAAACCTACAGATTAGGAGAAAATTTTTGCAAACTATTCCTCCAACTAAGGTCTAATATCCAGCGTCTGTAAGAGGCCAAATGCTATGGCTCATGCCTGTAATCCCAGAACTTTGGGAGGCCAAAGCAGGCAGATCACCTGAGGTCATGAGTTCAAGACCAGCCTGGCCAACATGTTGAAACCCCATCTCTACTAATAATACAAAAAGTTAGCTGGGCGTGGTGGCTCATGCCTGTAGTTCCAGCTACTTCAGAGGCTGAGGCAGAAGAATTGCTTGAACCCAGGAGCTGGAGGTTGCAGTGAGCCGAGATCTCACCACTGCACTCCAGCCTGGGTGACAAAGCAAGACTCCATCTCAAAAAAAAAAAAAAAAAAAAAGGAAAAATAGAAGTAGGCAAAGAACATGAACAGACACTTTTCAAAAGAATACATTCATGTGCCCAACAAGCATATGAAAAAAAAAGATCAATGTCACTGATCATTAGATAAATGTGAATCAAAACCAAAATGAGATACATAGGTAGAAAATTGAAACTGGACTCCTTCTTTACACCATATACAAAAATAAACTCCCACACTGGTCTGAATGGCTATTATTTAAAAGTTAATATTAACAGGTGCTGGCAAGGTTACAGAGAAAAAGGAACACTTATACACTGTTGGTGGGAATGTAAATTATTTCAACATTGTGAAAAACAGTTTGGTGATTCCTCAAATACTAAAAACAAAACTACCATTCAACCCAGCAATCCAATTACTGGGTATATGCTGCCCAAAATATAAATTATTCTACCATAAAGACACATGCACTTGTATGTTCGTTGCAGCACTTTTCACAATAGCAAAGACATGGAGTCAGCCTAAATGCTCATTAATGGTAGACTAGATAAAGAAAATATAGTACATATATACCATGGAATACTATGCATTCATAGCATCCATAGAGGAGAGAGAGATCATGTCCTTTGCAAGAACAAAAATGGAGGTGGATGCTATTGTACTTAGCAAACTAACTGAGGAAGAGAAAACCAAATTCCGCATGTTCTCACTTATAAGTAGGGGCTAAATGATGAGAACATATTTGACACATACAGGGGAACAACAGACACTGGGGCCTATCTTGATAGCTATCTTGAGAGTGGAGGGTAGGTGGAGGGAGAGAATCAGGAAAAAATAGCTAGTGGGGGCTAGGTGTAATAACTGGGTGACAACATAATCTGTACAACAAACTTCCATTACACAAGTTAACCTGTGTAACAAACCTGCACATGTACCCCTGAACTTAAAATAAAAATTAAAAAAATTGGGACTTCTGACACACAAAACTGTGAAAATAAAGACTTCTGTTATTTTAAGCCACCCAATGTGTGTTAATTTGCTACAGTAGCCCTAGGAAATTAAATACAATGATCAAAAGAAAATTGAAGAGTAATCTTTCAGTAACACAAATGAACTCAAATTGACATTCCTAAAAATATAATTCCAAAATGCCTGAAATATCTAAAAGCAATGATTACCAAAATAGAAACTTTCACTTGACTTAAATGAGTCAAATAATTCAGTATACAACTCATAATTTCCTTCTGACACTCAATATTTTAAAAAATTCACAGAAAAATTACAACCTTGACTTAAACTGTATATCAACATGAATATATGATTTCCAAACAAAAGGAAAATTTGATTTATTTAAAATCCTGTATTTACTTTTAGATTAAGCCCATAATTATGCATATTTACGCTTTCAACCTTTTCTATTTTCAAAGCAAGTAAGATTTCTGTTATCCACAACTTTTTAAGCCAGAAGTTAAATGTTGGTAGAAATTTGGAAAATACTAAAGAGAAAACAATTACCTAAATTCTGATACTCTAACACAACAATTTGTAGTATTTTGGTATATTTCATTTCCATCTTTTAAAAACATGGCTACAAGCAGAAAACATATAATTAGGTATCCCGCTCTTAAAAAAACTTTATGATTGTGTCATGTAAATTTTGCATCAACGCAGCCTTTCAAATTGTAATTTTACAAGCTGTATATCGATACCCATTTTCCTGTTTTTGGAACTTAGACTGTTTTTAATTTTCCTATTGGAAATAACACCACAATTAAAATCTTGTTCATAATTTCATAAAAAAGAAATGCTGAAGGGAGCTCTTTAGCATAAAAGAAAAGAATGTTAATGAGCAAGAAGGAATCATCTGATGGTACAAACTGACTGGTAATGGTAATCACACAGAGGAACACAGAATAATATAACACTGTAATTGTGGTGTGTAAACTACTCTTGTCTTAAGTAGAAAGACCAAATAATGAACCAATAAAAAATAATAACTACAACAATTTTTGAAGACATATAATGTTTACACATAAAGAGAAGGAAAAAGTTAAAAACCAGGGGAAGAAATAAAGTGTAGAGTTTTGTTAGTTTTATTTTTGTGTGTTCATATATTTATTTATGCAATTAGTGTTCTGTTGTCATCAGTTTAAATAACAAATTATAAGATAGCTATCTTGAGCAGAAAGAACAAAACTGGATGAATCATATCACCTAACTTAAAATTATACTATAGAGCTAGAGTAACCAAAACAGTATGGTACTGGCATAAAAACAGATGTATAGGCCAGGTGCAGTGGCTCACGCCTGTAATCCCAGCACTTTGGGAAGCCGACATAGGTGGATCACGAGGTCAGGAGGTCGAGACCATCCTGGCTAACACAGTGAAACTCTGTCTCTACTAAAAATACAAAAAAATTAGCCGGGCATGATGGCGGGCGCCTGTAGTCCCAGCTACTCAAGAGGTTGAGGCAGGAGAATGGCGTGAACCCAGGAGACAAAGCTTGCAGTGAGCTGAAATCACTCCACTGCACTCCAGCCTGGGCAACAGAGTGAGACTCCATCTCAGAAAAAAAAAAAAAAAAAAAAAAAAAACAGATGCCTAAACCAATAGAATAGAGTAGAGAACCCAGAAACAAATTTATGAACCTACAGTTAATTCATGTCTATCGTGTCTAACAAGGTTGCCAAGAAAATATGTTGGGAAAAAGACAGTCTTTTCAATAGATGGTGCTGAAAAAAACTGCATATCCATATGCAGAAGAATAAAAGTAAACTACTCTTGCCATATATAAAAATCAAATCAAAATGGATTAAAAACTTACATCTAATATCTCAAATTATGACACGAATAAAATAAAACATTGGGAAAAGTCTCCAGGTCATTAGTCTGGGCAAACATTTCATGAACAATACCGCACAAATACAGGCAACCAGAGCAAAAATTTACAAATGGGATTGCATCAAGTTAAAAAACTTCTGCACAGCAAGATAAATGATGAACAAAGTGAAGAGAAAACCCACAGAATGGAAGATAATATCTGCAAACTACCTATCTGACAAGGGATTAATAACCAGAATATATAAGGAGCTCAAACACCTCTATATTGAAAAGATCTAATAATCTGATTTTAAAATGTGCAAAAGATTTAAACACACATTTTTCAAAAGACTTATAAGTGGCAAACAGGCATATGAAAATGTGCTCAACATCACTAATCATTAGAGACATGCAGATCAAAACGACAATGAAATATCATCTCACCTGAGTTAAAATGGCTTTTATCCAATTGGCAGGCAAAAACAAATGCTGGTGAGAATGTAGAGAAAAGGCAACTCTTAGACACTTTTCTTGGGAATGTAAATTGGTACAACCACTGTGGAGAATAATTTGGAGATTCCTCAAAAACTAAAAATAGGGCTACCATATGATCCAGCAATCCCACTGCTGGGCATATATTAAAAAAAAAAGGAAATCAGTATATCAAATAGATATCTGCACTCCTATGTTTGTTGCAGCACTGTTTCCAATAGTCAACATTTGGAAGCCACAGAAATTTGCATCAGCAGATGAATGGATAAATGAAATATGGTACATATACACAATGGAATACTATTCAGCCTCAAAAAAGAATGAGATTCTGTCATTTGCAACAATATGGATGAAACTTAAGGCCATTATGTTAAGTGAAATAAACCAGGTGCAGTAAGGCAACCACCATGTTTTCACTTATTTGTGGGATCTAAAAATCAAAACAATTCAACTCATGGAGATAGAGAATGGAAGAATGGTTACCAGAAGCTGGGAAGGGTAGTGGGGTATTGAGAGGGAGGTAGGTATTGTCAATGGGTACAAAGAAATAATAGAATGAGTAACACCTAGTATTTGGCAAAACAGGGTGATTTTAGTCAATAATAACTTAATTATTGTACATTTAAAAATAACTAAAATATTATAACTGGATTGTTTGTAACACAAGTAATTAATGTTTAAGGAGATGCACACCTAATTTTCATGATTTGATTATTACACATCACATGGCTATAACAAAATATCTCGTCTACTCCATAAATATAAATCCTCGCTATGTATCCAAAAATTAAAAATGAAAAACTTCATATATATGTTTTAAAAAGAGTTTATCAACATAGTGTTTTAATGCGTATATGTTAAAAATATATTTATAAGAGTTTATTGGTGTCAATAAACTTTTTTATAATTACAGTATTCAGAATGAAATTATAAAAATGACACCACATATATGTTGAAAAACCTGGTGTCAATAAACTTCTTTTTATAATTGCATTCTGAATAATGGTCCACATTTCATCTTTTTGAAATTATGTAAAATTTAAAGTTCAGATGCTGTACTTATGTATTCATTTCTGTTTAATAATGTTGAATGTATAATATTTAATGCTTTTGGCATCCCTGAAAATTGAGAGCAAAAGAGTATTGGAATATATTACTGTTTAATATATAGTTACAAAGTAAACCATTGATAGTGAATAAAAACCAAGAAATACTAAATAAACAAAAATATCAGTAGTTGCAATCTTTCTCACATTAACTTCCTGTAGCTAGATAACACATTTCTGGGGTGTAAGATTTGATTTTCTGATCCGGGCATTAAATATTTACTTCTAATTATAGTCTTACGTGAGACACACACAAAAAAACTAATTTGCATTATCAATGATGCAAGAAATGTGACGTTTAGTCTTTTAAGATTGGTAATAAAGAGAAAAGCATGTGGAAGATTTACTTTACCTTCTTTTTCTCTTGAAAGCAAGTTTAAATAATGAAACTTATTTAACTAACTTCTTAAGAATTATTTTTTTCTACTGACTAGAATATAAAAAGAGGGTACTATCTGAGATAGAGCTGGGACTGCAAAGATTCCATTTCAGTCTCAATCTCAAGGGGAAAATCAAAGGGTTTCTTTCTCTCAACAGTTTTGGTGAGATCATATGCTGAGATGTTGACAGCTACCACACTACAAAAACAGTAAAGCAACTTTTCTCAATGAAACTTCTGTTTTTGTCCACAAAATGTTTCTGTTTGTTTGGTCCTTTATTCTCTTAATAATTTTTTTCAGTGGATTGAGGTCTAAGAATGCCATTCTTCCCAGCCAGGAAAGAGCAAGCCAGTGTTCGATTAACTATTCATCAAGCCATGCTTTCCCCCAATATTCTATTTATATATAGTTTTACTTGCTTGATGATAGCCAAATGCGAATTAACATGAAAGTCTGATTTTTATGCAAATGGGACATTACTGGAAAACTCTCTAATCCAATGGAATAAGTGTTGAGTAATGAAATTCTGATATTGTGTTTAATGATATATTGCACTATTGAGAATATTTGTGCTTACCTTCGAGTCTATCTTCTAAAAGATACCAAACCCCCTTACACAAAGTAGAAAACAAAGTCAAATAGCTAAATATTGTGTCTTAATAATGTTAAAACATTAAATGTTTCAAATATTCCAATGTTTAGAATTATTTAAACAAATAAAACATAAGAATTGTTTTACTGTCTTGTTGTTATTACCCAGCAGTTTGGAACTCAACTTGGTGAGTATGGGGTAGTGGAAAACTTGTGAATTTCAGAGACAGACCGAACTTGGTTCATAAAGTCAAGATTTTACTAGATATTAACCTTGGGTGAATTATTAAAAATATTTCAACCTTGATTACCTCATCTGCAAAATATGAATAACAATACTACTTGCTTCATAGGATTCTGAACATCAAAACAGAAAACATATATAATGCAAATATCACAGTGACTAAAACATAGAACCTGATCAGTCAATGATAATTATTATAACTATTATTGTCATGTCTGGCTTTTAATTCTACCAATAACAGCATCTTTTAAAAAGCTATGTTGATTCCTGCTTTTTTCATTTTATCACACCATTGAGAAGGTAATTAACTTGTTTATCTTTTCTCAAATTTTATTTTAAAATATTGTTCAAAGGAGCTTTTCGCTGAAAAGATAGTTGACTGCTAGTCGTACTACATTTTATCTTTAAAATGTGCTTTAATTCCTTGACAACTGAAAAATATGAAAAAAATGTGCTTTTACATGGTTGGTGGGAGTGTAATTTAGTTCAACCACTGCAGTGTAGTGATTCCTCAAAGACCTGAAGACAGAAATCTCATTTGACCCAACAATCCCATTACTGGATATATACCTAAAGGAATATAAATCATTCTATTATAAAGATACATGCACATGTATGTTCACTACAGTACTATTCACAATAGCAAAGACATGGAATCAACCTAAATGCCCATCAGTGATAGACTGGATAAAGAAAGTGTAGTATACCATGGAATACTATGCAGCCATAAAAGAACAAGATCATGTAGTCTGCGAGGATATGAATGGAGTTGGAAGCCAATATACTCAGCAAACTAATGCAGGAACAGAAAACCAAACAACACATGTTCTTACTTATAAGTGGGAGTTGAATGATGAGAACACATGGACATATGGGGGGATCAAAACAACCACCATGGCACACATTTGCCTATGTAACAAACCTGCACATCCTGCACATACAAGTATCCCTGAAGTTAAAAGTTGAAGAAAAAAAAGAAAAAAAAAACATATTTGGGGTGGAGAGAGACAATATGATTTGGACAATGACATCTTACATAAACTTGGCCCATGAGTGTTTAGGCATATTTTGTTTTGTTTTTTTCCTGAAATACTAAGTATAGGAAAGTATTATGTCTAGGGCAATTTTGGGAAATAGGTGTCATATTTTCCCTTGAGGAAAAGGTTTTTCATGGCAGTGAGGAGGGGGTGAGGGGTTATTTTAAACATTAGCAAATATCTGAACAATAGAAGTGGAGATACCAGAAGGATGAGGTCTTTAAGGAGGTTTGAGCTCTGAATCCTTTAGAAAGCAACTTTATTACTTGTCCTGACTGTACAAATGAAGGTTTAATGAAATAAGACTTATTTTTGCTTTTATTTTTTAGCTTTTGCTTTTGAAATTATTCAAGACCCACAAAACTTGCAAAAGTGGTCCAAAGTGATTTTGTATACCTTTGCCCCAGATTCTCCAAAGGTTAACGTATTACATAACCAAATTACAATTGACACAATCAATAAATTAACACTGATACATTACTTTAATCTCCAGACCTGTTTAATTTTGCCAATTGTCCCACTAATTTCCTTTTTCTGATCCAGGACCTAATATTTGATTAAACATTGCATTAATTGTCCTGTCTCTTTAGTCTCCTTAAATTTGAAATCGTTTCTCATTATTTCTTTTTATTTTAGGATGATGCATTTGAAGAGTAAAAGCTAGTTATTTTGTGGAATTCTTCTCGTTTTTCTTTTGTCTAATATTTCTTAAAGATCAAATTTAGATTATAAATTTTGTGGCAAAAACATCACGGAAACAATGTCTGTCTCCCTCTTAACACATCATAGTAAGAGGCCTATGATATTGGTATGTCTTGTTAATGGTGAAATTAACCTTGATAATTTAGTTAAACTGGTACCTACTGGGTTTTTGTGGTGCAAAGGTACTATTTTTCCTCTTGTAATTAACATTTCATAGAAAGATACTTTGAACCCATGCAATTTACCTGTTTTTATAATAGATTTTCCCACTAATTTTTATCCATTGATGATTCTTGGCTGAAATAATCGGTGTGGAGTTTACCCATGGTTTTTTTTTAATTTATTTTCATCATCACATAGTTTGCTAAGAATAATGGTCTTTAGTTCCATCCATGTTCCTGCAAAGGACGTAATCTTATTCTTTTCTATGCCTGCATAGTATACCATGATGTACATGTACCACATTTCTTTATCCAGTCTACTATTGATGGACTTTTAGGTTGATTCCATGTCTTTGCTACTGTGAATAGTGCTGCAATGAACATTTGCATGCATGTGTCTTTACAGGAGAAGAATTCATATTCATCTGGGTATATATCCAGTAGTAGGATTGCTGGGTCGAATGGCATTTCTGTTTTTAGGTCTTTGAGGAATCATCTCAGTGATTTCCAAAATAGTTGAACTAATTTACACTCCCACCAGCAGGGTAAAAGCATTCCTTTTTCTCCGCAACTGTCAGCATCTGTTATTTTTTGACTATTTAATAGTAGCCATTCTGACTGGTGTGAGATGGGGGCCCTTTCAACTTGCATCCTGTAGACAGGTCTTAATTTTAATTTTTATATTTTTAGAAAACAAAAAGCAGTTTTATTTAACAATCTTTACATGCCAGCATCTATTTCTTTTTAAGATGGGGTCTCACTGCTGCCCAGGCTGGAATGCAGTGGTTTGATCATATGTCACTGCAGCCTCAAACTCCTGGACTCAAGTGATCCCCCTGCCTCAACCTCCCAAGTAGCTAGGACTACAGGTGCACTACCATGCCTGGCTAATTTGTTAAATTTTTGGTAGAGACAGGGTCTCACTTTGCTGCCCAGGCTGGTCTGGAACTCCTGGTCTCAAGTCTCCTGCCTTGGCCTCCAAAAGTGCTAGGATTACAAACACGAGCCATCATGCCCAGCCCCTATTTTTAATAGGGTTATTTTCAGGTGCCACAAGTAAGGAGAGATGATGCTTTTAACTATGAGCCAAGCAACCAGGATTCCATCCTGAGCTTATCTAAGAACAAGCTGTCAGTAAATTATTTCCCATTCCTTCACCTCAACAGATTTTTTTTCAATAGCAAGTGGGTATTGGACTTTTAACAATAGGGGTATTTGGTATCCAAAAATTGTTGACCTCCATCTGATGAAAAGCAGTTCTGGTCATCAGTTGACTGATTTATTTTTCTACAATAACTTGATTAGCATACAAGCTATAAAAAAAAGTAAAAGAATGGTTCTATTGGGTATCACATGTAAAGCAAAGTTAACCCAGAAGTACAAAAGCAGGAATAACAAGACTTACAAAGGAGGATTTTCAGTATATTTCTAATTTAGAAAGAGATAGAGCTCTTGGCCTTTGGTGGCTTGTGGTCTCCTGTAAATGTTACATTACCTCAAAAAGACAATATTAATAAAATTATGCTGTTCTGCTTAGGAAATAGTTGTAATGTTACCAATATAACTAACTATTCCTTCATATACAGAACCAAAGGGAAAAAAACTCTTGAATTCAAGAAAAAATGTATCATTGATGAGTTGCAAAAGTGAGAATGCCTGAACACTTCTCAACAGGTGAGTAGGATTTAAGACTGACAGATATAAAAATCTTTTTAAAGTAATGCTTTTTCTGGTTACTTCTCATGGAATAAACTTTACTTATATTTTTGGCATATGCCCTTCAATATTTTCAGTTCACTCTCAATGAATGTACTTTTATTCTGTTCTTACCCACAAAGTATTTTTAGCAAAATTTTAAAATAGTAAACATACAAAAATATGTTAACAACTTTAGCACCTTGTGGAAAATAATAACATCATATTACTTGTAGAATTATGATTTTATTTCAACCAAGATACTATGGTTCCGATTCATAATTGGTCAACTTTACTTGTAACCAAGACAGCCTTTCATTAAGTCACAAAATATTTTCTTCATTATTGGATTCAGAGCAAAAACTTCTTAAATTATGGCCTAACACAACAATTTTTATTATTAAAATTATTTACATCAGAGCAATTAATTCTTCATTGGTTGTCAGAATATACACACACACACAATTTGTAGATTTTTCTTTTTCATCTATTTTAATGATTATAAAAATATCAACATCAATTGTTTTAATTAAAGTGCACTCTACAATGTTCTCCTTATATTACAATGAAGGTAACCTATAAGACAATGACACACTAGTATCTCATGTCAGCTAATTTCATGAAAAGTCTCATGAAAACTAAGATGTTCAATTAAATATTATTTTATGCAATGTTGAATTTTGCTAGAATATAAGGTGACAGCATCATTAATCAGCTTCTTATAGGACATAAAATTAATTTTTCTATTGAGGCAAATGTGTCATTTATGTGAAATCAGATCCTCATTTACACTTTATGGGGAATTTGAAATCACACTTATGCCTGAGAGTGCTCTCACAAAGTGGGCTGACCTGGTATAATTTTGAGTTATTTAAAGAACTACGTAATCCACTCTGAATTTCAAATACAACTTAAAGCTCAATTCTCAAAGCTCTCAAGAAGTTTAATTTACCATAACAAGCACTGTTTCAACTAACTGGTTTTATTTTCAGATGCCAAGGAAGAGACGTACAGGAGCAAAAAGTGTACATTTTCCAGGGTTCAGTCCAGAGATAGCTGGCATTTTAATTTGTTCTTAGCATAAAGCAATAATGAATAGGTCCATGCCAGCTTTTCCCAAACAGAGGCGTTTTCACCTCCAAGGGTTCATAGCCTAGTAAACAACTGATAAGCGATACATGAAAAGCTTGAGTTTTCATAATGTAACTATTCAAATGCAAGTGCTGTCTTGTTATAAAGAGCCTACCACACATTTTTCTGTCTTGTAAACAGCATCTGGAGCCCAGGGAAGAGAAGAAGGGAACGATTTGCATCTGGCTTAGGCATCTCAAAATGAATGGATGAAAAATGCAAGAGCAGTAGCAAGCTGTGTACTGTCAGCAATGATGAAAATAACAAATGAGCATGTGTAGTCCATTATACACATTTTACAGTATCCAGCTCTCTTTGTGAACCAACATTCCTGTGGACTAGGATAGCTGACCATTTTCCAATCAGGAGGACTGAGGCATGAGTAAATTTCAACCATTTCCCTAAACATTTTTTATGGAAATTGACAAATAAAACTATGCTTTATAGATGGTAATTCCCAGGACAATTCTGAGAGGGTGGAAAAAGGAGGTGTGGGACTAATACTACAAAATTCCTAACAGATGTTTAGTAAGTTTAGTCAGAAACTGGAGGTTATGAGACCTACAGCTCCCATTCTCCAACCCCTTGATCCTTCTCTGCTCTCTTGAAACTTTGAGCGACTGTTAGGACATTAATAAGAAAACCAGAATAGGTAATTATTTAAATAGATTAAAAATGTTTGAGAGAGCCCAAATTGTACTTATCCTTCAAAAATAGCTTCAATCCTGCCTACCCTGAGACTTTCCCAAGCCACTTTAGCCTAAGTGCATGTGTTGTCCTCTGAACTTTTCTAGAACCTATTGCCGTCACCACTCATTGTGATAAAGACAACTAATCACATTATCTTGTATCAACTCACCTTTTTCTAGATTTTTGTTCCTTTGTACATTTTTTTTAGCTTTTCACATATTTTTACATCTTCTCTAAGTCTAGACATTAAGGTCCTTGAGATCAGAGACTTTCTTTTGCTTTTTAATGTCTCTTCTGATACTTACTTAATGACTTTCACATATAGAAGTTCTTAGTATAAATGTGTTCACTAATTGAGAATAATCAGGAATTAAGAAATATGGAAACTACCAAAAACAAATGAATATTCCGTTGGTACTCTAAAGATATTGAACGAGACCAGAAAAATGAAAGTACATAATAAACAGGCATGGACTTTTGGGTCTCTATTTGATTACTTTCTTAAATATGTTCTCATTTTTAGTTACTAATGTTAATTATTGCCACATTCAATTTTAATTTAAAAGTTATTTTCCTTTGGCAGTAACCCTTAGGCAAGTTGTACATTCTACTAATTGATCCTAAACTCTATTTTAATCATCCTCATGTTCTTATTTTCTCCAAAATATATCAGCATCTTAAATATTCACTTTAAATGAACTGGTTTTTTTTTCCTAAATGCATTATTCCTGGTATGTGAATATTAGGGTTATTGTTCAGAGAATCCTTTCTTTGTTAGAGAAAGGAAATTCGCAAGTCAAAACAACATTTATTTTCTGTTTCTAAATAATTATTCTTTTTCTGAAGATAGCATCAATTGTCAGACCATGGATAGTAAAGACAGAACATAATCCGATGGAGTCCAATGTTCAATAAAACACTGAAAAGGAAGCAAAAGACATTAGTGTTGTCGATCATTTTGAGTTATCATTATGTGCCAAGACTATGTTGTTAAGTACTTCACATATAAAATTATTTTAATTATCATTATAGCCTTATGAAAATAATTATTCTTGCAAATTTCATTTACAGTAGGAAAACTGAGCACAGGATCACACAACTAAAAAGCACTAGAGCCAGAATTTGAATGTCAATTTATCTAACTAGAAATCCCAAATCTTTAGCTAATTTATCATCCTAGAAAGATGACACATGGATCATTGTCATATGCCACAGCATGGATATCCATGATCTTATTATATGAATAACTTTGGACAGGCTGAAAGGAGCAAAGACATGAAACCAGAACAACCACTAGTGGGGTGCATGATGGTTAAAGGATTGGGAAAAAGGAGATAGACTCAGCTACAAGTGCTAAGAAAATCTAGTCTAGAAGCTGATTTTATATCAAGAATATGGTAACAGATACCAGGAAGTTTAGGCAAAATAACATTATTTACCTCAGGCCTGATGTGAGGCATAAGTAATTTAATACTTTGAAAGTTTATAGGCCATTCTTTGGCACATGGTTAGCACTCAGTTCATGTAATCCATTATTATTCATTATTATTATTTATATCTAGCTAATAAAGCCAGTAGAGCAGAGATAGGAAATCTAACTGGCTGTGAAACTCTGAAGTCCAAGAAGGTAACTGGTTTGAGTAAACACTGTCAGCATCTAGGCAGAGTCCCAGGTAGTCCTGTCACAAGGACAAGACTTTCGATGAAGTGAGCTGCCTTCTTTAAAGTCTAAAAGGGCAGGGGCACTAAAGTAAAAATTATCACATAGAAAATGAAGGCAAAAGTGCTAGCCAAACTAGGGCATAAAATTGGCACCAGATAAATGGCAAAGGGATTTGATCCCTGCTGAAGCTTTATAGTTTCCTCCTATCTCAGCCCATGGTTGGTATTAGGGATTGGGACCACGGTTGAGTCCACGGACCAAGTAATTCATGTTATTGAGAGCAGAGAGATGCAGGGATTAGGAGTCAGTAAAACAGCAATATCTTAGGAAATTTTCTTCTCCACTATGTTTTTTCAGCATAACCAATCCCTGTAATTTACTATTGTCTAAACCAATGAGGTAAAGCTGCCACATGCCAGAGTCTGAGCTGAGAGAACTACAGTTATTAATCAAGATTGTGAGGTGAAGTTCATTGTGAAAAGTCTGAAAGAGCAGTCCAAGCGGTAAACCAGAAAACTTGCCAAGTACAATATGTGTGCAGAGGTCAGTCTAAAGCAGGCAAAGAAAGACAGTCCAACCAGGAGCCAGGAATTCAAACCAATCTTCAAAAGTCTTTGGAGACCAGCTCAAACAGACACTGGAAGATCTGAAACAACCCCGGGAAGGCGATATTTGTGCATGGAATTGCTAAAGCTGAAGTTTGTCAGATGGTGCTCTAGACAGTCACATAAGCAGAAAACATAGTCATAGGCTGGTGACAAATTTTACTGATCAAACAGGGACTGCACAAAGAAAGTCAATTTTACTCCTTGAAATGTTGGGCATAAAGGATGCTACTGCAAATAATGAAGATTTTGTATGTGAAAGATTAAATTATTTTTCTTCAAAGAGCGATGAGATTTTGCATAACACTCTGAAGATGAAATCAGCTCTCTTTTATTTGAGGAGAAAAGTAACTTTATTTTAACTAAACAAGTGAAGGAAAATGAGAAAGGGGATCAACGGTCTGGAGGTCTAATCTCATCTTTGCTATAATGCTTCAACCTTGTGCAAGTCACTTAAACCTTTGCTTTTTTTGCTCAGAAATAAGGATAATAATACCTGAGAATTAAATTCTGTTACAGGATATTATTTAAAGCAAAATATTTCATATAAGTATTTAATTTTTTTAAAAAAGTCCAACCCTAATAAAACAAAACATTAGAATATTAATAATTATTCAAGTTGTGTGATGAGTACATTAAGAAGGAATCATTATACTATTATCTCTACTATTGTACAATTATTTTTAACAAAAATTTAAACACAAAAAGTCTAATGCTCACAGAAAATAAAAGGATTTCTGCTTCAATGGCAACATATATGCCCAAGGTATGGATATTCTGAAATAAATAAGTCAGGGAAAATAACCAAGCTTTCAAAGAACACCCAATACTGACTTTCTCAGGGCAGGAAGTTTTCTGCTGAAAACTACTTGGAGAAGTAAGTCCATTCAAATGCTAGACAGTAGTATGTCTAAGGTGTGATTCAAGGATTATTAAGAAGAAAATAAGGATGAGCCTTGGGCATTCCTCCATAGTAGGATGAGCATAACAGTTTTGCTTTTCTAAGGTCAATACAGAGAATTGAGCTCATAATTCTCAAGCCTGAGACTAGCAATATTTGACCCTGGAGCCACATACAGCTCTCTAGAGGTTCATATGTAGCCATTGAAGGCTACATTAAGTAAAAATAAAAATTTTAACTTTTATTTATATTTTGAATAAGAGTGATGCTATGTTCTCTGAAAATGCCAAAACACTATTATAAGTGGAATGAAATATTTTAAATGTATTATAAGTGCAATGAAACATTAGAAGTGGAATGAAACAATTTAAGTAAATAATGTAGAAGTTTTTCATTTCTTCTCAATATGTAATAAAGTTCTCAGCTTGGGAAACTCATGGTGTTTAATTTAGGATTCAGGTATGCCTCAATGGAAGGTCTATGAGACACACTGACCCTGAGTCTACTCTCATGAGGGATTATAGAATCTACTGTGAGAAAAAGAAGACTCAACCCAAGGAAAAACAGAGAGAAGACATAAAAAGTTGACCAAAGATAACGGACCAGCATAGAATGAGAGACAATATTTTATATCCAGCAGGGTGACTCATTCAAATTGTTCCCCAGTCAATCTGAGTTTTGAGGATATGGAGTATCTTAAGAATGTTCTTCCCCACCCACTACATCAATCTTTTTTGTTTAATTTTATAATTATTATACTTTAAGTTTTAGGGTACATGCTCACAACGTGCAGGTTTGTTACATATGTATACATGGGCCATGTTGCTTTGCTGCACCCATTAACTCGTCATTTAGCATTAGGTATATCTCCTAATGCTATCTCTCCTCCCTCACCGCACCCCACAACAGTCCCCGGTGTGTGATATTCCCTTCCTGTGTCTATGTGTTCTCATTGTTCAATTCCCACCTATGAGTGAGAACTTGCAGTGTTCGGTTTTTTGTTCTTGTGATAGTTTGCTGAGAATGATGGTTTCCAGCTTCATCCATGTCCATAAAAAGGACATGAACTCATTATTTTTTATGGCTGCATGGTATTCCATGGTGTATATGTGCCACATTTTCTTAATCCAGTCTATCATTGTTGGACATTTGGGTTGGTTCCAAGTCTTTGCTATTGTGAATAGTGTCGCGATAAACATACCTGTGCATGTGTCTTTAAAGCAGCATGATTTATAATCCTTTGGGTGTATACTCAGTAATGGGATGGCTGGGTCAAATGGTATTTCTTGTTCTAGATCCCTGAGGAATTGCCACACTGACTTCCACAAAGGTTGAACTAGTTTACAGTCCCACCAACAGTGTAAAAGTGTTCCTATTTCTCCACACCCTCTCCAGCATCTGTTGTTTCCTGACTTTTTAATGATCGCCATTCTAACTGGTGTGAGATGATATCTCACTGTGATTTGATTTGCATTTCTCTGATGGCTAGTGATGATGAGCATTCTTTCATGTGTTCTTTGGCTGCATAAATGTCTTCTTTTGAGAAGTGTCTGCTCATATCCTTCGCCCACTTTTTGATGGGGTTGTTTGTTTTTTTCTTGTAAATTTGTTTGAGTTCATTGTATATTCTGGATATTAGCCCTTTGTCAGATGAGTAGGTTGCAAAAATTTTCTCCCATTCTGTAGGTTGCCTGTTCACTCTGATGGTCATTTCTTTTGCTGTGCAGAAGCTCTTTAGTTCAATTAGATCCCATTTGTCAATTTCAGCTTTTGTTGCCATTGCTTTTTGTGTTTTAGACATGAAGTCCTTGCCCATGCCTGTGTCCTTAATGGTATTGCCTAGGTTTTCTTCTAGGGTTTTTATGGTTTTAGGTCTAACATTTAAGTCTTTAATCCATCTTGAATTAATTTTTGTATAAGGTGTAAGGAAGTGATCCAGTTTCAGCTTTCTACATATGGCTAGCCAGTTTTCCCAGCACCATTTATTAAATAGGGAATCTTTTCCCCATTGCTTGTTTTTGTCAGGTTTGTCAAAGATCTGATAGTTGTAGATAGGCGGCATTATTTCTGAGGGCTCTGTTCTGTTCCATTGGTCTATATCTCTGTTTTGGTGCCAGTACCATGCTGTTTTGGTTACTGTAGCCTTGTAGTATAGTTTGAAGTCAGGTAGCGTGATGCCTCCAGCTTTGTTCTTTTGGCTTAGGATTGACTTGGCAATGTGGGCTCTTTTTTGGTTCCATATGAACTTTAAAGTAGTTTTTTCCAATTCTCTGAAGAAAGTCATTGGTAGACTGATGGGGATGGCATTTAATCTATAAATTACCTTGGGCAGTATGGCCATTTTCATGATATTGATTCTTCCTATCCATGAGCATGGAATGTTCTTCCATTTGTTTGGATCCTCTTTTATTTCATTGAGCAGTGGTTTGTAGTTCTAGAAGAGGTCCTTCACATCCCTTGTAAGTTGGATTCCTAGATATTTTATTCCCTTTGAAGCAATTGTGAATGGGAGTTCACTCATGATTTGGCTCTCTGTTTGTCTGTTATTGGTGTATAAGAATGCTTGTGATTTTTGCACATTGATTTTGTATCCTGAGACTTTGCTGAAGTTGCTTATCAGTTTAAGGAGATTTGGGGCTCAGACAATGGGGTTTTCTAAATATACTATCATCATGTCATCTGCAAACGAGGACAATTTGACTTCCTCTTTTCCTAATTGAATGCCCTTTATTTCCTTCTCCTGCCTGATTGCCCTGGCCAGAACTTCCAACACTATGTTGAATAGGAGTGGTGAGAGAGGGCATCCCTGTCTTGTGCCCATTTTCAAAGGGAATGTTTCCAGTTGTTGTCCATTCAGTATGATGTTGGCTGTGGGTTTGTTATAGATAGCTCTTATTATTTTGGATACGTCCCATCAATACCTAATTTATTGAGAGTTTTTAACATGAAGGGTTGTTGAATTTTGTCAAAGGCCTTTTCTGCATCTATTGAGATAATCATGTGGTTTTTGTCTTTGGTTCTGTTTATATGCTGGATTATGTTTATTGATTTTCATATGTTGAACCAGTCTTGCATCCCAGGGATGAAGCCCACTTGATCATGGTGGATAAGCCTTTTGATATGCTGCTGGATTCTGTTTGCCAGTATTTTATTGAGGATTTTTGCATGAATGTTCATCCAGGATATTGGTCTAAAATTCTCTTTTTTTTGTTGTGTCTCTGCCAGGCTTTCATATCAGGATGATGCTGGCCTCATAAAATGAAATAGGGAGGATTCCCTCTTTTTCTATTGATTGGAATAGTTTCAGAAGGAATGGTACCAGCTCCTCCTTCTACCTCTGGTAGAATTCGGCTGTAAATCCATCTGGTTCTGGACTTTTTTTGGTTGGTAAGCTACTAATTATTGCCTCAGTTTCAGAGCCTGCTATTGGTCTACTCAGAGATTCAACTTCTTCCTGGTTTAGTATTGGGAGGGTGTATGTGTCCAGGAATTTATCTATTTCTTCTAGATTTTCTAGTTTATTTGCATAGAGGTGTTTATAGTATTCTCTGATGGTAGTATGTATTTCTATGGGATTGGTGGTGATATCACCTTTGTCATTTTTTATTGTGTCTATTTGATTCTTCTCTCTTTTCTTCTTTAATAGTCTTGCTAGTGGTCTATCAATTTTGTTGATCTTTTCAAAAAACCAACTCCTGAATTCATTGATTTTTTGAAGGGTTTTTTGTGTCTCAGTCTCCTTCAGTTCTGCTCTGATCTTAGTTATTTCTTGCCTTCTGCTAGCTTTTGAATGTGTTTGCTCTTGCTTCTCTAGTTCTTTTAATTGTGATATTAGTGTGTCCATTTTAGATCTTTCCTGCTTTCTCTTGTGGGCATTTAGTGCTATAAATTTCTCTCTACACATTGTTTTGAATGTGTCCCAGAGATTCTGGTATGTTGTGTCTTTGTTCTTGTTGGTTTCAAAGAACATGTTTATTTTTGCCTTCATTTTGTTATGTACCCAGTAGTCATTCAGGAGCAGGTTGTTCAGTTTCCATGTAGTTGAGCGGTTTTGGGTTTCCCTCTGTGGGTAACCCTACCTTTCTCTCTGGCTGCCCTTAACATTTTTTCCTTCATTTCAACTTTGGTGAATCTGACAATTATGTGTCTTGGAGTTGCTCTTCCCAAGGAGTATCTTTGTGGTGTTCTCTTTATTTCTGAATTTGAATGTTGGTCTGCCTTGCTAGATTTGGGAAGTTCTCCTGAATAATATCCTGCAGAGTGTTTTTCAACTTGGTTCCATTCTCCCCATCACTTTCTGGTACACCAATTCGACATAGATTTGGTCTTTTCACATAGTCCCATATTTCCTGGAAGCTTTGTTCGTTTCTTTTATTCTTTTTTCTCTAAACTTCTCTTCTTGCTTCATTGCATTCATTTCATCTTCCATTGCTGATATCCTTTCTTCCCGTTGATTGCATCGGCTACTGAGGCTTGTGCATTCATCACGTAGTTCTCATGCCATGGTTTTGAGCTCCAACAGGTACTTTAAGGACTTGTCTGCATTGGTTATTCTAGTTTGCCATTCTTCTAATTTTTTTTCAAAGTTTTTGACTTCTTTGCCATTGGTTCGAATTTCCTTCTGTAGCTTGGGGTAGTTTGGTCATCTGCAGCCTTCTTCTCTCAACTCTTCATAGTCATTCTCTGTCCAGCTTTGTTCCATTGCGGTGAGGAGCTGCGTTCCTTTGGAGGAGGAGAGGTGCTCTGATTTTTAGAGTTTCCAGTTTTTCTGCTCTGTTTTTTCCCCAACTTTGTGGTTTTATCTACCTTTGATCTTTGATGATGGTGACGTACAGATGGGTTTTTGGTGTGGATGTCCTTTCTGTTTGTTAGTTTTCCTTCTAACAGTCAGGACCCTCAGCTGCAGGTCTGTTGGAGTTTGCTGGAGGTCCACTCCAGACCCTGTTTGCCTGGGTATCAGCAGCGGTGGCTGCAGAACAGCGGGTATTGTTGAACCACAAATCCTGCTGCCTGATCATTCCTCTGAAAATTTTGTCTCAGAGGAGTACCTGGCCGTGTGAGGTATCATTCCATCCCTACTGGGGGGTGCCTCCAAGTTAAGCTACTTGGGGGTCAGGGACCCACTTGAGGAGGCAGTCTGCCCATTCTCAGATGTTAAGCTGCCTGCTGGGAGAACCACTACTCTCTTCAAAGCTGTCATAGAGGGACATTTAAGTCTGCAGACGTTACTGCTGCCTTTTGTTTTTCTGTGCCCTGCTCCCAGAGGTGGAGACTATAGAGGCAGGCAAGCCTCCTTGAGCTGTGGTGGGCTCCACCCAATTTGAGCTTCCCCACCACTTTGTTTACCTACTCAAGCCTCAGCAATGGCGGGCACCCCTCCCCCAGCCTCGCTGCCACCTTGCAGTTTGATCTCAGACTGCTGTGCTAGCAATGAGTGAGGCTCCGTGGGCATAGGAACTTCTGAGCCAGCTGTGAGATATAATTCTCCTAGTGTGCCATTTGTTAAGCCCTTTGGAAAAGCGCAGTATTAGGGTGGGAGTGACCTGATCTTCCCGGTGCCATCTGTCACTGCTTTCTTTGAGTAGGAAAGGGAATTCCCTGACCCCTTACACTTCCCGGGTGAGGCGATGCCTCACCTTGCTTCGGCTCATGCACGGCAAGCTGCACCCACTGTCCTGCACCCACTCTCTGGCACTCCCCAGTGAGAAAAACCTGGTAACTCAGTTGGAAATGCAGAAATCACCCATCTTCTGCATCGCTCACCCTGGGAGCTGTAGACTGGAGCTTTTCCTATTCAGCCATCTTGGCTCCCAGCTCTACATCATTCTTTTTCAATTCAGATCAATTCTCCAAGGTAGACATCCTCCTTTCTGTTAGTTAGTGTCACTCTCACAGCACCAGTCTCCCCCAGAGTCATTCTCACACTTGAAATTTGGCTTTTATTTGTGTAATTCTTTCATTATTGTCTATCTGTCTTCTTCATTAATGTGTATGCTCCATGAGGGCAGAAACTATGTCAGCTTTTGTTTGATATTATATCTCTAGTTCCTAGTTTAACACCTAGTGCTGTTCAATATCTTTAAATTAATAAATGTACTAATAAATTATAAATGGTAAAATTTAAAGTCAGAGGAGGAGCCAAGATGGCCAAATAGGAACAGCTACGGTCTACAGCTCCCAGAGTGAGCGAAAAAAAAGACAGGTGATTTCTGCATTTCCAACTGAGGTACCGGGTTCATCTCACTGGGGAGTGCCAGACAGTAGGTGCAGGACAGTGGGTGCAGCACACCGTGCATGAGCTGAAGCAGGGTGAGGCATCGCCTCACCTGGGAAGAACAAAGGGTCAGGGAATTCCTTTTCCTAGTCAAAGAAAGCAGTGACAGATGGCACCTGGAACATCGGGTCACTCCCACCCTAATACTGCACTTTTACAATGGGCATAAAAAACGGCACACTAGGAGATTATATCTCACACCTGGCTCAGAGGGTCCTATGCCCATGGAGTCTCACTCATTGCTAGCACAGAAGTCCGAGATCAAACTGTAAGGCAGCAGCGAGGCTGGGGGAGGGGTGACCGCCATTGCTGAGGCTTGAGTAGGTAAACAAAGCTGCGGGGAAGCTCGAACTGGGTGGAGCCCACCACAGCTCAAGGAGGCCTGCCTGCGTCTATAGGCTCCACCTCTGGGGGCAGGGCACAGAAAAACAAAAGGAAGCAGTAACCTCTGCAGACTTAAATGTCCCTCTATGACAGCTTTGAAGAGAGTAGTGGTTCTCCCAGCAGGCAGCTTAACATCTGAGAATGGGCAGACTGCCTCCTCAAGTGGGTCCCTGACCACCGAGTAGCCTAACTGGGAGGCACCTTCCAGTAGGGGTGGACTGACACCTCACACGGCCGGGTACTCCTCTGAGACAAAACTTCCAAAGGAATGATCAGGCAGCAGCATCTGCAGTTCACCAATATCTGCTGTTCTCCAGCCACCACTGCTGATACCCAGGCAAACAGGATCTGGAGTGGAACTCCAGCAAACTCCAACAGACCTACAGCTGAGGGTCCTGTCTGTTAGAAGGAAAACTAACAAACAGAAAGGACATCCACACCAAAAACCCATCTGTACGTCACCATCATCAAAGATCAAAGGTAGATAAAACCACAAAGATGGGAAAAAAACAGAGCAGAAAAACTGGAAACACTAAAAATCAGAGCACCTCTCCTCCTCCAAAGGAACGCAGCTCCTCACCAGCAACAGAACAAAACTGGACAGAGAATGACTATGAAGAGTTGAGAGAAGAAGGCTGCAGATGATCAAACTACCCCAAGCTATAGAAGGAAATTCGAACCAATGGCAAAGAAGTCAAAAACTTTGAAAAAAAATTAGATGAATGGATAACTAGTATCACCAATGCAGACAAGTCCTTAAAGGACCTGATGGAGCTGAAAACCAAGGCACAGGAGCTACAGGACAAATGCAGAAGCCTCAGGAGCCGATGTGATCAATTGGAAGAAAGGGTATCAGTGATGGAAGATGAAATGAATGAAACAAAATGAGAAGAGAAGTTTACAGAAAAAAAATAAAAAGAAATGAACAAATCCTCCAAGAAATATGGGACTATGTGAAAAGAACAGATCTATGTCCGATTGGTGTACCTGAAAGTGATGGGGAGAATGCAAACAAGTTGGAAAACACTCTGCAGGATATTATCCAGGAGACTTCCCAATCTAGCAAGGCAGGCCAACATTCAAATTCAGGAAATAAAGAGAATGCCACAAAGATACACCTTGAGAAGAGCAACCCCAAGACACATAATTGTCAGATTCACCAAAGTTGAAATGAAGGAAAAATTGTTAAGTGCAGCCAGAGAGAAAGGTCAGGTTACCCACAAAGGGAAGCCCATCAGACTAACAGCTGATCTCTCAGCAGAAACTCTACAAGCCAGAAGGGAGTGGGGGCCAATATTCAACATTCTTAAAGAAAAGAATTTTCAACCCAGAATTTCATATCCAGCCAAAGTAAGCTTCATAAGTGAGGAAGAAATAAAATCCTTTATAGACAAGCAAACACTGAGAGATTTTGTCACCACCAGGCCTGCCCTAAAAGAGCTCCTGAAGGAAGCACTAAACATGGAAAGGAACAACCAGTACCAGCCACTGCAAAAACATGCCAAATTGTAAAGACCATCAATGCTAGGAAGAAACTGCATCAACTAATGGGCAAAATAACCAGCTAACATCATAATGACAGGATCAAATTCACACATAACAATATTAACTTTAAATGTAAATGGACTAAATGCTCCAATGAAAAGACACAGACTGGCAAATGGCATAAAGAGTCAAGACCCATCAGTGTGCTGTATTCAGGAAACCCATCTCACGTGCAGAGACACACATAGGCTCAAAATAAAGGGATGGAGGAAGATCTACCAAGCAAATGGAAAACAAAAAAAGCAGGGATTGCAATCCTAGTCTCTGATAAAACAGACTTTAAACCAACAAAGATCAAAAGAAACAAAGGAGGCTATTATATAATGGTCCAGGGATCAATTTAACAAGAAGAGCTAGCTACCCTAAATATATATGCACCCAATACAGGAGCACCCAGATTCATAAAGCAAGTCCTTAGAGATCTACAAATAGACTTGGACTCCCACGCAATAATAATGGGAGATTTTAACACTCCACTGTCAACATTAGACAGATCAACAAGACAGAAAGTTAGCAAGGATATTCAGGAATTGAACTCAGCTCTGCACCAAGTGGACCTAATAGACATCTACAGAACTCTCTACCCCAAATCGACAGAATATACATTCTTCTCAGCACCACACCACACCTACCCTAAAATTGACCACATAGTTGGAAGTAAAGCACTCCTCAGCAAATGTAGAAGAACAGAAATTATAACAAACTGTCTCTCAGACCAAAGTGCAATCAAACTAGAACTCAGGATTAAGAAACACACTCAAAACCGCTCAACTACATGGAAACTGAACAACCTGCTCCTGAATGACTACTGGGTAAATAATGTAATGAAGGCAGAAATAAAGATGTTCTTTGAAACCAACAAGAACAAAGACACAACATACCAGAATCTCTGGGACACATTCAAAGCAGTGTGTAGAGGGAAATTTATAGCACTAAATGCCCACAAGAGAAAGCAGGAAAGATCTAAAATTGACACACTAACATCACAATTAAAAGAACTAGAGAAGCAAGAGCAAACACATTCAAAAGCTAGCAGAAGGCAAGAAATAAATAAGATCAGAGCAGTACTGAAGGAGACTGAGACACAAAAAACCCTTCAAAAAATCAATGAATCCAGGAGCTGGTTTTTTGAAAAGATCAACAAAATTGATAGAGCAATAGCGAGACTAATAAAGAAGAAAAGAGGAAGAATCAAATAGATGCAATAAAAAATGATAAAGGTGATATCACCACCAATCCCACAGAAGTACAAACTACCATCAGAGAATACTACAAACACTTCTACACAAATAAACTAGAAAATCTAGAAGAAACGGATAAATTCCTGGACACATACACTCTCCCAAGACTAAACCAGGAAGAAGTTGAATCCCTGAATAGACCAATAACAGGCTCTGAAATTGAGGCAATAATCAATAGTCTACCAACCAAAAAAAGTCCAGAACCAGATGGATTTACAGCCGAATTCTACCAGAGGTAGAAGGAGGAGCTGGTACCATTCCTTCTGAAACTATTCCAATCAATAGAAAAAGAGAGAATGCTCCCTAACTCATTTTATGAGACCAGCACCATCGTGATACCAAAGCCGGGCAGAGACACAACAAAAAAAAGAGAATTTTAGACCAATATCCCTGATGAACATCGATGCAAAAATCCTCAGTAAAATACTGGCAAACCAAATCCAGCTGCACTTCAAAAAGCTTATCCCCCATGATCAAGTGGGCTTCATCCCTGGGATGCAAGACTGGTTCAACATACACAAATCAATAAATGTAATCCAGCATATAAACAGAACCAATGACAAAAACCACATTATTATCTCAGTAGATGCAGAAAAGGCCTTTGACAAAATTCAACAGCCCTTCATGCTAAAAACTCTAAATAAATTAGGTATTGATGGGACATATCTCAAAATAATAAGAGCTATCTATGACAAACCCACAGCCAATATCATATTGAATGGGCACAAACTGGAAGCATTCCCTTTGAAAACCAGCACAAGACAGGGATGCCCTCTCTCACCACTCTTATTCAACATAGTGTTGGAAGTTCTGGCCAGGGCAATCAGGCAGGGAAATAAAAAAAGGGTATTCAATTAGGAAAAGTGGAAGTCAGACTGTCCCTGTTTGCAGATGACATAATTGTATATTTAGAAACCCCATAGTCTCAGTCCAAAATCTCCTTAAGCTGATAAGCAACTTCAGCAAAGTCTCAGGATACAAAATCAATGTGCAAAAATCACGAGCATTCTTATACACCAATAACAGACAGAGAGCCAAATCATGAGTGAACTCCCATTCATAATTGCTTCAAAGAGAATAAAATACCTAGGAATCCAACTTACAAGGGATGTGAAGGACTACAAACCACTGGTCAACGAAATAAAAGAGGACACAAACAAATGGAAGAACATTCCATGCTCATGGATAGGAAGAATCAATATCGTGAAAATGGCCATACTGCCCAAGGTAATTTATAGATTCAATGTCATTCCCATCAAGCTACCAATGTCTTTCTTCACAGAATTGGAAAAAACTACTTTAAAGTTCATATGGAACCAAAAAGGAGCCGGCATCACCAAGTCAATCTTAAGTCAAAAGAACAAAGCCGGAGGCATCACGTTACCTGACTTCAAACTATACTACAAGGCTACAGTAACCAAAACAGCATGGTACTGGTACCAAAACAGAGATATGGACCAATGGAACAGAACAGAACCCTCAGAAATAATAATACACATCTATCGCCATCTGATCTTTGACAAACCTGACAAAAAGAAGCAATGGAGAAAGGATTCCCTATTTAATAAATGGTGCTTTGAAAACTGGCTAGCCATATGTAGAAAACTGAAACTGGATCACTTCCTTACACCTTATACAAAAATTAATTCAAGATGGATCAAAGACTTAAATGTTAGACCTAAAACCATAAAAACCCTAGAAGAAAACCTAGGCAATACCATTGAGGACATAGGCATGGGCAAGGACTTCATGTCCAAAACACAATAAGCAATGGCAACAAAAGCCAAAATTGACAAATGGGATCTAATTAAACTAAAGAGCTTCTGCACAGCAAAAGAAACTACCATCAGAGTGAACAGGCAACCTATAGAGTGAGAGAAAATTTTTGCAACCTACTCATCTGACAAAGGGCTAATATCCAGAATCTACGATGTACTCAAACAAATTTACAAGAAAAAAACAAACAACCCCATCAAAAAGTGGGCGAAGGACATGAACAGGCACTTCTCAAAAGAAGACATTTATGCAGCCAAAAAACACATGAAAAAATGCTCACCATCATTGGCCATCAGAGAAATGCAAATCAAAACCACAATGAGATACCATCTCACACCAGTTAGAATGGCAATCATTAAAAAGTCAGGATTCAATGGGTGCTGGAGAGTATGTGGAGAAATAGGAACACTTTTACACCGTTGGTGGGACTGTAAACTAGTTCAACGATTGTGGAAGTCAGTGTGGTGATTCCTCAGGGATCTAGAACTAGAAGTACCATTTGACCCAGTCATCCCATTACTGGGTATATACACAAAGGATTATAAAACATGCTGCTATAAAGACACATGTACACATATGTTTGTTGTGGCACTATTCACAATAGCAAAGACTTAGAACCAACCCAAATGTCCAACAATGATAGACTGGATTAAGAAAATGTGGCACATATACACCATGGAATACTATGCAGCCATAAGAAATGATGAGTTCATGTCCTTTGTAGGGACATGGATGAAATTGGAAACCATCATTCTCAGCAAACTATCACAAGGACAAAAAACCAAACACCACATGTTCTCACTCATAGGTGGGAATTGAACAATGAGAACACATGGACACAGGAAGAAGAACATCACACTCTGGGGACTGTTGTGCGGTGGGGGGAGGGGGGAGTGATAGCATTAGGAGATATACCTTATGCTAAATGACGAGTTAATGGGTGCAGCACACCAGCATGTCACGTGTATACATATGTAACTAACCTGCACATTGTGCACATGTACCCTAAAACTTAAAGTATAATAATAATAAAATTAAAAAAAGAATAAAAAGCCAAAACCATACGTTCATCTCAATAGATGCAGAAAAAGAATTTGATAAAATTTAGTATCTTTTTTTATATGTACTTTAAGTTCTGGGTTACATGTGCAGAATATGCAGGTTTGTTATGTAGGTATACATGTGCCATGGTGGTTTGCTGCACCCATTGATCCGTCATCTACCTTAGCTATTTCTCCTAATGCTATCCCTCCCTTATCCCCTACCCCATGACAGGCCCTGGTGTGTGATGTTCCCCTCCCTGTGTCCATGTTTTCTCATTATTCAACTCTCACTTATGAGTGAGAGCATGCAGTGTTTGGTTTTCTGTTCCTGTGTTAGTTTGCTGAGAATGATGGTTTCCAGCTTCATCCACGTCCCTGCAAAGGACATGAACTCATTCTTTTATATGGCTGCATAGTATTCCATGCTGTATGTGTGCCACATTTTCTTTATTGAGTCTATCATTAATAGGCATTTGGGTTGGTTTCAAGTCTTTGCTCTTGTGAATAGTGATGCAATAAACATACATGTGCATGTGTCTTTATAGTAGAATAATTTATAATCCTTTGGATATATATTCAGTAATGAGATTGCTGGGTCAAATGGCACTTCTGGTTCTAGATCCTTGAGGAATCACCACACTGTCTTCCACAATGGTTGAACTAATTCACACTCCCACCCAATAGTGTTCTTATTCCTCCACATCCTCTCCAGCATCTTTTGTTTCCTGACTTTTTAATGATCGCCATTCTAACTGGCATGAGATGGTATCTCATTGTGGTTTTGACTTGCAATTTTCTAATGACCAGTTATGATAAGTTTTTTTTCATATGTTTGTTGGCCACATAAATAGCTTCTTTTCAGAAGTCTCTAAATTTACAAGGAAATTTAGTATCTCTTTATTATCAAAACCCACAATAAATTAGGCATAGAAGGAACATATTTCAAAATAATAAAAATCCATATAACACAAATCAACAGCCAATTTTATACTGAATGGGGAAAAGTTGAAAGCATTTTTCCCTAAGAAATGGAACAAAAAAATGATGCTCAATATCACTGCTGTTATTGAACATAGTATTGGACATCCTAACTAGAGGAATCTGACAAGAAAAAGAAATAAAAGGTATTTAAATTGGAAAACAGGAAGTCAAATTATCTCTGTTTGCTGATGATATAATCCTGTAAGTAAAACATCTTCAAAAGACACCTTCAAATACTTTTACATTTGGTAAACAACTTCAGTAAAGTTTCAGGATATAAAAATCAATTTTAAAAATCATTAACATTTCTATACAACAATAATGATCAACCTGAGAACCAAATCATGAATGCAATCCCATTGACAATTGCTACAATAAAAAGTAAAATATCTGGGGATAAAGAACCTGGAAGATGGCTGACTAGAAGTAGTTAGTATGAACTGCTTTAATGGAGAGGAGAAAGAGTGGTGAGTAAACACTAGCTCCTCAACTGGAATATCCAGGTGAACATGTTGGGATTCATTAAGGAAGCAACAAGACCCACAGAGAACAGAGAAAATAAAAAAAAGACAGCCACCCCCCTTATACTGGCTTAGAGTGAGGGGGCGGCTCCCCACCAGGAGGAAGTTGTGAGTGACTGAGAGCCCTAACAACATTTCTGCCACAGACTTTTGGAATTTGGAGCTTAGGAGATCCCCATGACCTGCACCCAAAGCTGGGCCTCCACCTGCAGACTGATAGAGAGAGCTACATGGAGTCTGGGCAGAGCAACTGCTTAGGCTCAGTTGGAGTCCCAGGTGCCTTGGATGCCTAGACATCCTGGCATCAGTGGCTGCAGCTCTAGCCACAGGTGAGGCCTGGCTCCTTCACATGACCCCAGAATAGGGGCTGAATTTACAGGGCTAAAACGCAGACAGACTGCAGGCCTTGTCTCCAGTGCACCTTGCTGGACAAGGCCCACTGGCGTGCGATGCTAACATGGCTACCCCAGCCCCACCTGAGCTCTTGGGTCAGTAATAGCCCTGCACTTCCCTGGGATAGAGCACCCAATGGGATCAGACAGGTTCACCAGTTTTTCTGTCTCACAGCTCCCACTCCTACTGCCCTTGGCCTCGGAAAGGAGTGAAGTGATTACGGCATGGCACAGCTGCATTATGTAAAAGAGGCCAGACTATTTTCCATGTAGGCCCATGCCCCTACTACTCACCATGCCCATGCTACTACCTCCCAATCTGGAACCCCAGCCACACCAACACAACCTAGGCTCTCAGGCAAGTCACAACTCTGCATTTCCTGGGATAGAGCTGCCAGTGGAAGGAGGGAGTGTTACAGGTAGTTAAGCAGGCATGAGCTGGGCTGGAGAGGGCTGTCCTCCACCCACTAGGAATGTCAGGTGATGGCTCAGCAATTATCACATTGACTCTCTAAAAGTGACAAATTGGCAGCCAGTGCCAGGGAGAAGCCATTTCCTGATGGTCCACACCTGTTACACTAAAGGGTTAATTGAATGCAGATGCCAGGGAGAAGCAACTTCCTGGGCATGTGGATTAAGAGACAAAATGGCAGAATATGACCTTCTGGGGCACTCCACTGGAAAAGAGAAGAAAGCCTCTGATGGACATGCATACAGCTTCCGTAAACACACTGCACGTGCTAACCTCCCAAGGGTAAGAAGGGCACTGTGCATGCAGACAGCCCACCCTAAGGGAAGAATCATGAAGAAGGGGTCAGCCTATGAAGTCCTAGGATCACGGTTAAATATGGCATTTGACCTTCATGTGCCTACTGGGTTTTATCTAAGTGTATTTTCCTTTCTTTCCTGTCCTAAAGCCTTTTTAAATAAACTTCCACTCCTGCTCTGAAACTTGCCTCAGTCTTTTTTAAAGCCTTATACCCCTCAGTCAAATTCTTTTTTCTGAGGAGGCAAAAATTGAGGTCGCTGAAGACCTGAAGAGATCTGTTGCTGGTAACCTGGGCGCCTTCCACTGGTAACAAGAGGATAACTATTTTTGCTGCTTTCCAGCTCCTTCTTCAACTGACCTGAAATCCAGCAGTGCCAAGCTGAGATCTGCAGCCAGCACTCAAGTGGGAGAGGAGCCCACACAGAACACTAAGAGGGAGAACAGGTGCAAATGTGAGAAAACACAGGAGAGCCATGTGGCTAAGCAAAAGCCTACATACAGGCCATTAAGTGTAAATGCCATCTACTGGATTACAGGATACATTGAACCACCAAAAATACTTCGCTAATATACCTTCCTGTGAAACAAAGATAAGAATTAAGCTACAAATAAA
This sequence comes from Homo sapiens, assembly GCF_000001405.40. Lineage (NCBI taxonomy): Eukaryota > Metazoa > Chordata > Mammalia > Primates > Hominidae > Homo > Homo sapiens. The sequence continues at coordinate 83,295,708 of NC_000023.11, forward strand.
GACCCAGCATAAATCCTCATGCTTTTGAAAACATCCAGATATGAATAACTGAAAACATTCAGTTACAAAGTTAACTGACTGTACACAAATTCCACCAAAGTTAAGGAACATCAGCCCACACAGATGAGAAAGAATCAGTGAAAGAACGCTGGTAACTCAAATAGCCAGAGTGTCTCCCTTCCTCCAAATGACCACACTAGTTGCCCAGCTATGGTTCCTAGCTAGGCTGAAATGACTAGAATGCCAGAAATGTAATTCAGAATATGGATAGGAACAATGATTATTGAGATTCACGAAAAAATTCAAGCCCAATCCAAGAAATATAAGGACTAGAATAAAACAATATAAGAGCAGAAAGACAAAATGCCCATTTTAAGAAAGACCAAACTTATCTAATAGAGCTGAAAACCATACTACAAGAACTTCATAATACAATCACAGGTATTAACAGCAGAACAGACTGAGTTGAAGAAAGAATGTCAGAGCTCAGAGACTAGTCCTCCAAACTAAATCAGTCAGACAAAAATAAAGAATAAATAATAAAAAAGAGTAAACAACACCTCTGAGAAATATAAGACCATGTAAAAAAACCAAATCTAAGATGCACTGGTGTCCCAGGAAAAAAGAGAGAGAAAAAGCAACTTGGAAAACATATCTGAGAATATTGTCCACTAAAATTACCCCACCCTCAATAGAGAGAACATTCAAATGCAGGAAATACAGAGAATTCCTGCAAGATACTATACCAGACGACCATCCCCAAGATGTATAGTCATCAGATTCTCCAAGGTCAACATAAAAAAAAAATGTCAAAGGTAGCTAGACAGGAGAGGCAGCTCAACTACAAAAGGAACCCTGTAAGGTTCACAGTGGGTGCTTCAGCAGAAACACTACAAGCCAAAATAGATTAAGAGCCTATATTTAGAATTCATAAAGAAAAGGATTTTTAGCCAAGAATCTCATACCCAGCAAAACTAAGCATCAAAAGTGAAGGAGAAATTAAATCATTTTCAGACAAGTAAATTCTAACGGAATTTGTTACCACCAGACCCAACTTACAAGAAGTCCTTAAGGGAGTGCTAAACATTGAAAGGAACGACTGTTTCCAGCAACTGGAAAAAAACACTTACACTTACGTATATAAACCATTGACACTATAAAGCAATTAAACAATCAGGTCTGCAAAACAATAAGCTAACAATACGATTACAAGACCTAATATGCACATATCAACATTTACCTTGAATTTAAACATGCTAATTGCCCCACCTAAAAGTCACAGAGTGCCAAGTTGGATGAAGAATGAAGACTCAACTGTATGCTGTCCTGAAGAGACCCCCATTTCACATCCAATGACAGTGATAGTCTCCAAAGTAAAGGGATGGAGAAAAATGAACCAAGAAAACAGAAGACAGAAAAAAATATCAGGGTTGCAATTCTAATTTCACATAAAACAGACTTTAAAACAATAAAGATCAAAAAAGACAAAGAAGGACATTATGTACTGGTAACAGGTTCAGTTCGACAAGAAGACCTAATTGTACTAAATATATATGCACCCAAACACAGGAGCACCCAGATTCATAAATCAAGTTCTTAGAGTTATTTAGAGAGTTAGACTCCCAACAATTATGGTGGGAGATTTCAACACCTCACTGATAGCATTAGACAGATCATCAAGTCAGAAAATTAACAAAGATATTCAGGACTTGAACTAAACACTGGACCAAATGGACCTAATAGACATCTATGGAAGTCTCCACTCAAAATAACAAAATGTGCATTCTTCTCAATGGCACATGGTACATATTCTAAAAGCAACACACAATCAGGCATAAAACATCCTCAGCAAATGCAAAACAGTTGAAATCATACCAACAAGTCTCTCGTACCACAGTGCAATAAAAATAGAAAGTGGTACTAAGGAGATTGCTGAAAATTACACAATTACATAGAAGTTAAACAACTTTCTCCTGAATTACTTCTGGTAAACAATAAAATTAAAGCAGAAATAAAAATAACTAGGAAATTAATGAAAATAAAAACACAAAATTCCAGAATCACTGGGATATAGCTAAAGCCATGCTAAGAGATAAGTTTATAGTGCTAAATGCCCAGATCAAAAAGTTAGAATGATCTCCACTTCACTTAATATTATACCTTGAGGACATAGATAAACAATAGCAAACTATTCCCAAAGCTAGCAGAGGCAATAAATAACCAAAATCAAAGCTGAATTGAATAAAAGTGAGATGCAAAAAAAAAAAATCCAAAATACATCAAAACCAGAAGTTGGTTTTTTGAAAGAATAAATACAATAGATAAACCACTAGCTAGGCTGCTAAAGAAAAAAGAGAAGATCCAAGTAGACAAAATCAGAAATGAAAAAGTGGACATTACCACCAATCCCACAGAAAGACAAAAAACCAACAGAGACTAATATGAATGTTTACATGCACACAAAATAGAAAACCTAAACTAAAGGATAAATTTCTGGAAACATACCTCTTCCCAAGACTAAACCAGGAAGAAATTCAAAACCTGAGCAGACCAATAAGGAGTTCTGAAATTGAATCAGTAATAGAAAACCTACCAATCAAAAAGGCCCAGGTCCAGATGAATTCACAGCTGAATTTCACCAAATGTGTAAAGAAGAGCTGGCACCATTACTACTGAAAGTATTCCAAAACAGAGGAGGAAGGAATATACCCTAATTCATTCTATGAGGCCAGCATCATCCTGACACCAAAACCTGGCAAAGATACAACTAAAAGGAAAACTTGAGGCCAATATCCTTGATGAACAAAAATGAAAAATCCTCAATAAAATACCAGCAAAGCAAATCCAGTAGCACATCAAAAAGCTAAACCACCACAATCAAGTAGGCTTTATCCCTGGAATGCAAGGTTGGTTTAATATACGCAAATCAATAAATGTGATTAATCACATAAACAGAACTAAAGACAAAAACCCCATTGATGTTCTCAATATATACTGAAAATTATTTAAATAAAGTTCAGCATCCCTTTTTGTTGAAAACCTTCAACAAACTATGCAGTCATTGAAGAAACATACCTCAAAATAATGACAGCCATCTAGGACAAACCTACAACAAAGATTATATTAAATGGACAAAAGTTAGAAACATATCTATTGAGAACCAAAACAAGCCAAGGTTGCCCACTCATACCATTCCTATTCAAGACACTAGTGGAAGACCTAGCCAGAGAAATCTGGCAAGAGAGAAAAATGAAATGCATCCAAATAGGAATCGAGTGAGTCAAACTATCAATGTTTGCAGATGATATAGTTGTATACCTAGAAAACCCCATAGTCTATGTCCAAAAGCTTTGAGATCTGATAAGAAACTTAAGCAAAAATATCTCTCCAAAATATTCATGCAGCCCTATCTCTTCAGAATTTACATTTTTCTTATCTAAACCCACATACAATAATAAACTATATTTTAATAGTCTCAAGTATATTAATCAGTTCATCCTAGCTAGAATATAAACATTCTGTGAATTAGAATATTTACTTACTGTTTTTCTCTGTCCACCATAGCACTTTGCAAACTAATATTCATTGACTGCATAGTGCCTGCCAGACACTGTTATAAGTGCTTTAATTTATATACATATATTTTTGAGAAGGAGTCTTGCTTTGTCTCCCATGCTAAAGTGCAGTGGCATGATCTTGGCTCACTGCCACCTCCGCCTCCCGGTTTCAAGCTATTCTTCTGCCTCAGCCTCCCGAGTAGCTGAGATTACAGACACATGCCACCATGCCCAGCTAATCTTTGTATTTTTAGTGGAGATGGGGTTTCACCATGCTGGCCAGGCTGGTCTTGAACTCCTGACCTCGTAATTCACCCGCCTGGGCCTCCCAAAGTGCTGGGATTACAGGTGTGAGACACCACCCCTGGCCTATGTTTTCTTATTTCATTTAATTCAGGAGAAAATCTGTAAGATAAACATTTTCTTTCGTTTAGGAATGAGGATTCTGTGGCTTAGAGAATTTAAATAGGCTCACACAAATATATGTATATAGGCTATCTAAACCACAGATCTTTCAAAATAAAATGTTAACTAAGGTTTAAACAAATGCCCATGCTTGCTTGCTCTTTCCAAAATACCAGTAATTTTCAACCATTTCCTTAGTGGTGGACCTTTTTTTTTAAAGAACTATCTAACACAGGATGTCAATGAATAAAAGAGGTAAAAATAGGTCTGCCCTTATTCAACAGAGTTGATGACACAGATTCCATCCACTTAGCCGTACTTTTCCTCCTTCTACTGAACTCCTCTACTGAATCCTAAAACCTACTTCCAGGATGGTTCTGACACAATATCATGGAATCTTTTTGAAGTCTGAGAAGCACAATCCAAAAATGACATCCTGCTGCTCAGCATTACTGGGCACACTGTAATTGCTCAGAAAAAAAAATACTGACTATATTTAGACCACGAATGCCCTAAGGAATAGTTTCAATACAGGGGCCAAAAAGTAAATATTTTTTCTTACAAAAGTTAGGGTAAAAAGAAAGAAACAAATAAATAAAAAAGGAGTAAAATACATCATCTTAGGTTGGGCATGGTGGCTCATGCCTGTAATCTCAGCACTATGGGAGGCCCAGGTGGGAGGATTGCTGGAGCCCAGAAGTTTGACAGCAGACTGGGCAACATAGTGAGACCTCATATCTACTAAAAAAAAAATAGCTTGGTGTGATGCTGTGCACCTGTGATCCTAACTACCAGGGAGGCTGTGGTAGGAGAATTGCTTGAGCCTGGAGGTCAACGTTGCAATGAGCTGTAATCACACCAATACACTTCAGCCTGGGTGACAGAATGAGACCTGGTCTCAAAAAGAAAGACATTATATTTTTTAAAAGTAGGAGGAGGAAGTAGAGAAATAGAGGGGAAGAGAGAATGAGAGAAAATGTAAACCCCTTAGTGTCAATAATAAATGGCCTAGGTCCTAGAAACCTCTGGGATTAAACTCAGCCCTTGGGAAACCAAGTCACTCCAAGTATAAATTCTTGGCTTGGTCAGTTAGATCAACAAGCTGCAGCCATCACATATTCTAGAATAATGTGGGGAAGCTCACTCCAGGAGATGCAAGGACTTCATGTCTAAAACACCAAAAGCAATGGCAACAAAAGACAAAATTGACAAATGGGATCTAATTAAACTAGAGAGCTTCTGCACAGCAAAAGAAACGACCATCAGAGTGAACAGGCAACCTACAAAACGGGAGAAAATTTTCGCAACCTACTCATCTGACAAAGGGCTAATATCCAGAATCTACAATGAACTCAAACAAATTTACAAGAAAAAAACAAACAACCCCATCAAAAAGTGGGCGAAGGACATGAACAGGCACTTCTCAAAAGAAGACATTTATGCAGCCAAAAAACACATGAAAAAATGCTCATCATCACTGGCCATCAGAGAAATGCAAATCAAAACCACAGTGAGATACCATCTCACACCAGTTAGAATGGCAATCATTAAAAAGTCAGGAAACAACAGGTGCTGGAGAGGATGTGGAGAAATAGGAACCCTTTTACACTGTTGGTGGGACTGTAAACTAGTTCAACCATTGTGGAAGTCAGTGTGATGATTCCTCAGGGATCTAGAACTAGAAATACCATTTGATCCAGCCATCCCATTACTGGGTATATACCCAAAGGACTATAAATCATGCTGCTATAAAGACACATGCACATGTATGTTTATTGCGGCATTATTCACAATAGCAAAGACTTGGAACCAACCCAAATGTCCAACAATGATAGACTGGATTAAGAAAATGTGGCACATATACACCATGGAATACTATGCAGCCATAAAAAAATGATGAGTTCATGTCCTTTGTAGGGACATGGATGAAATTGGAAATCATCATTCTCAGTAAACAACTATGGCAAGAACAAAAAGCCAAACACCGCATATTCTCACTCATAGGTGGGAATTGAACAATGAGAACACATGGACACAGGAAGAGGAATATCACACTCTGGGGACTGTTGTGGTGTGGGGGGAGGGTGGAGGGATAGCACTGGGAGATATACCTAATGCTAGATGATGAGTTAGTGGGTGCAGCGCACCAGCATGGCACATGTATACATATGTAACTAACCTGCACAATGTGCACATGTACCCTAAAACTTAAAGTATAATAAAACATAAAAAAAAGAAGAAAATAGCTAGAAGTAGCAGTCATTTGCTTCCTTTATGACAGCTGCTAGATCCTGCCTGGACAGATGTACATAGTTTGCTATTTGCCAGTTAAAATAACTAACCCTTTTGGCCATGTCAAACAAATGCTAAGTCTAAGTCACCATTTGAGCACATCGTTAGTAATATGTAACAGGATAAACTGATCCAACTTAAACTTTTACCTCTGCAAAGTATATCAACATGCTGAGGAAAATCCAGTAAAGTCCCAGAAAACTAATATCGGCAGCAAAGAATACGACTTTAGACTGGACTTCCTCTGCCAATAGCCTTTGATTTTACATGACTAGACCAGAATAGGGATGCACAATTCTGCATTTGATGGTCAGGAGTTGTTAGGTAATTATCCATTTTCATTCACTCCAATTTCTTTAAACAATACATTTAATAATATGTTTTTATAGAGAGATGATTTTCAAAACATAAACATCAGGACATTAAACAGATTTCAGTGATCCAAAAGCGAGGTAGACTTGGTTTGTAGGTTAAGAGATTGTTGTTGCAATTAAAGTATTTGGATGTCACAGTTTTGTCTTAAGGCTTCCATTAAGTCATTGTCAGTGTTGTAAATTGTACATTTTGGCATAATCAGTGATATGTTTTGGGTTTGAATAGTAAATGATATTAAGTTTCCCCCTACCTAATATTAGCAATGGGTTTATGTTTCCTTGAGTTATTCAAAAGATAATGGCTTATCTATAGTCATGCATTCAGCACTATTTTTTGAGTGACTGCTATGTGCTTAGCACTGTTCCAGTACTAGTGATACAGCAGAAAATGGAACAAAGTGCCTGCTTACAAAAAACTTTCATTTTAACATGGCAACAAAAGAAATGCAGTACAAGTCAGCTCTCCATATCTGAGAGTTCCACATCCATGGCTTCAATCAAATACAGATAAAAAATATTTGAAAAAATTGCAACTGTAGAGAATGTGTATAGGCTTTTTTCCTTTGTCATTATGCCCTCCACTACATAGATAGCATTTATTTTGTGTTAGTTATTATAAGTAATCTAGAGATGATTAGAGTAGTTTAAACTACTGGAGAATGTGCACAGGTTATGTGCAAATACTACACCATTTTATTTCAGAAACTTGAGCATTCATGGATTATAGTATCTGCAGGATATCCTGAAACCAATCCCCCATGGATATCAAGGAATGACTGTCTAGACAAATTTTGGATGGTTACAAATGTCAAGAAGAAAATTTAAAAAGGTAATAAGATAGAGAGTTGAACACTGCTATAGATGGTTACAGGATGTAACTCTACGTAAATGACATTTGCAAAAACAAAGAACCATCCAAGCAAAGATGTTGGTGAAGAGCAGTCTAGACAGAGGGAAGAGAAACTGAAAAGGTCACAACGCAAGAATGAACTTCTTGCGTTTGAGGGAAAACAAGAAGCATTTGTGATAGGAATATTGTAAGTTAGGGAGAACGTGGGATAAGATGAGTGAGTAGAGGTAGGCAAAGGACAAATTATGTAGGGGGCCAGGTGCGGTGGCTCACGCCTGTAATCCCAGCACTTTGGGAGGCCAAGGCAGGTGGATCACGAGGTCAGGAGATTGAGACCATCTTGGCTAACACGGTGAAACCCCATCTCTACTAAAAATACAAAAAATTAGCCAGGCGTGGTGGTGGGTGCCTGTAGTCCCAGCTACTTGGGATGCTGAGGCAGGAGAATGGTGTGAACCCAGAGGCAGAGCTTGCAGTGAGCCGAGATCGTGCCACTGTACTCCAGCTTGGGCTACAGAGCTAGACTCTGTCTCAAAAAAATAAAAAAATTATGTAGGGCTATGATATGCTGTTTACATTTAATTATAAATGCAATGGTTTTAAAGGACAGTGTTTTAAACAGAGGAGTGAAAAATATTATTTACAATTTTAAAATATTGGGTTGAATTCTTTGTGGGTAGGAGACTGCAGGGAGAAGAACAGAAGCAGGAATACCAGTTAAGAGGCTTTACAGCCATTCTGGAAGGGATAGTGGTAGTCATAGAGATGATAACAAGTTTTGAAGTTAAAGCCAATTAACTTTGTCTTAGTCCACTAGACTTAGGCTTTTATAACAAAATATCTTACACTGGGCTGCTTTTAAACAACAGAAATTTATTCTCATGGTTCTAGTAGCTGTGAAGTCCAAGATCAAGGTGCTGGCTGATTCAATCTCTGATGAGGGTCCAATATCTGGTTCAGAGATGGTGCTTTCTAGCTGTCTCCTCACAAAAGAAGAGAAGGGTCTCTCTCAGGCCTTCCTTAAAAATTTTAGTTTTTTAATTGACAAATATTATTTTTCTATATTTAAGAGGTATAATGTGATGTTATGATACATTTATACATTGTGGAATAATTAAATCAAGCTAATTAAGATATTCATCACCTTGCTTACCTATTATTTGTGGAGATAACATTGGGAATCTATTCTTATAGCAATTTTGAAATATATAAGACATTATTATTAACTATAATAACTATGATATGCAATAGATCATTAGAACTTATTCCTGCTATCTAATAGAAAGTGTTTCTTACCTTTGACTAACATCACTCCATTCCCTGTCCACTACCCCCAATATCTTCTGATAACTTCCATTCTACTCTTTCTATCTATATGAGTTTGATTTTTTAGATTCCATATATAAAGGAGAATATATGGTATTTGTCTTTCTGTGCCTTCTTTTTGTCCATATATGCAATATTTTTATCCATTCATTCATTATGGGCATTTAGCTTGTTTCCATATCTTGGTTATTGTGAATAATGTTGCAATGAGCATAGAGTATATAAACAGTGAAATCCCACTCAACTTTTAAAAAGAAGGAAATTCCGTCATGTGCAACAACGTGGATAAATCTAGAGGACATTATGCTAAGTGAAATAAGCCATTCTTCTGTGGATACCTGAGTCATGTAGTGCTGTACTCTGCTTTCCTTAACACTGTGTTCTATCTGTTTTCATGAATTATGATACGTTTTTGTTTGCCTGGGACAGTTGCAGTTTCTGCCTGTTGATCCAGTGTAAGTATTAATAGCATCCCCTTTCAATCTCAAAAGGGTTCATGTAATAAATTACCTGGCCATCTAGCTTTCACCCATAGCAAAAAAAGTGGTTACTGAAAATTATAGAACCTTTTCCCATTTGAGTTTTCTCCTATTTGCATAAGAAAGACATTGCCAGAACATTTTGATATCAATTTACATCTTTTATTCTTTACTTTAACAAATGTTTCTCAAGTATTTCAGAAAACGGGACAGAGCATAGAAAGAACAAATGGGCAAGGTGAGGTGGAGGTTGATGCAGATACACCTTGCTGACCCAATTTTGCTGAAGGCAAGAGCTCTAATTATATCTCTTGCCATTTATCCATTTCATGAGTTAATGTTTCTTTGTATGTTTCACCTGCATTTTGAAGTAATAGCAATGTTTTCTCTCTCTTATGTTATCAATTTAAATGCCAATTTGGAATTTTGCTTCTTAAGCCAATGTGAAACTTATTATCTTCATAGAGAGTTTCATTAATTCACATCTAGATAGTAAACAAAGAATATTGTTAAACAACAGGATTCTAATGAAAAAATTCATTACTTGTCAGTATAAGTTATAGTAAATGACATTCAGTAGGAGGCAGTATGGTCTGTGCAGTAGAAGGCAGGCTGCTCTGGAGTGTGCTAGATCTGGGATCCAGATCTAGCTCTACCCCAATTCTGTACATCCTTGAATAAGTCACATTCTTGCTCTGAGCCTTAATTTCTCCATATGTAAAATGAGTTTAAGGATTAATAATCTCTAAGCTCCCTTCCAGTTCAGACTTACTTTGGTTCTATTCACAAAAATTTGCTACATATTCATTCTCTAAGTGGAAATTATAATTTCCAGAGCTTTGCAAATTAACTTGAAATAATTCTACCAGAAGTAAAAGCTGGACTGTCTAGCTGATGGAAGGATGGGGGAGGTTGTGAGTAAAATCATGCAAACATGATTACCAGGGGCATATTTATACCCCTTAGAAGAACAAACTGTTTTCAAGCACTTATGGAGCATCCATTTACATACAAATCCATTTACATACAAATTCCTGATGACAAATAATTCTCAATTCATTACACTTGCTCCCAGAGGCCCTTTACTTGGCAACACTTTGTTGGACTGGTTCGGGTTGCTGTAGCTCCTTGACTATAATAAAATTGCCTTTCAAATATTCTATCATTTTTAATTGAAAAAAGTTAATTAAAAAAATTATTCAGGCCCCAATTAGACTACATTAGCAAGATTTTGTGTTACTATATTTTTGTTCATTAAGCTCTGTTAAGGATCATGCTCCTGAATACTCATTTCCAGCTGCACCCTGCCTCTTCTCCAACTCAGTGAGTGTGAGAAGCACTGTTGCTCTTTGAGTGCCTGCTGTGCCAGAAGCAGCCCCATGGACCTAATTGGAAAAGGCCTGCTTCTGCCCTCCTTAAATCTTATCTTCCCTTGGTATCTATTAGTCCTTCCTCTCTATTCTGGCTGACTTTATGGGAATCTTTCCCAGCCTTTTCTTCTCATGGGTGTGACAGTTGGTTTGGGAGGAATTTGGATAGACATGGAAAAACAATCCAGAAAAATCACCATATTCCCAAAAGGCAACTGGAGAGTTTCCAGGCCAGACTATCTCAAAATGCAATCCAAAAATCATCTCCATCAGTACTCACATGATACCTGTTTAAAATTCAGATTCTTGAAAGTGACTTCTAGAACTATTAAATCAGAATCTTTGGACAATGTGCCAGGAGGTATATTTTTCACATGTTCCTCAGGTAATTCTGTTACATACTAAAGTATAAGAATCACTGTGAGCCTATGTCACCAGAAGCAGAATGGCCCACAATGGAATGAGGAATAAAGAACCTTGGGAAATTTTCTGCAATAGCTAATGTTAATATTCATAATGTAATCTGAAGTAGTCATCTCAGGTCTCAGAAAAGCTACAACCATCATGTATGTCAGTAATAATTGCTTATAACAGATCATAATTGCTGAGTACTTACTTTGTGCCAAGCATTTTGCTAAGTGCTTCATCATTGTAATTATCCATAATAACTCACTTCATCTTTTACCAGACCAGCTTTATCCCACTGAATTCTCTTAACAGACCTGTGAAGTAGGCACTATTATTATTCTTTTCCAGATGAGAAAACTGAAGCTCAGAGAGGTTAAGTGACCTACCCAATGTTAAGTTCTTAGTAAAGTGGAAAAGCCTGGAAGTGAGGTATCTCCCTTACCAGACCATGAGCTCCAGAAAGGAAATAATATAGCCTGCCTTGACTTCAAGCCCCACTGCTCAATCTGGATCTTGTACAGAACCGGGGCCTAGTTAGATTTGAAATGAGATGAGGCTAAGGTTGTCTTTGAATGCAAAGGAGGGAGGAGGAACCTCTAGGTTGGGGGCCTATGAAAGACCCAATGGCTCTGAGATCTACATCCCACCATGAGTATCCTCCAGGTTTCAGGCGTAAGTACTTTGATGCTTAAAATGTCTCTTCTACTCTCTCTCTCATTACTTTTGTGACCCCCAAAATCAGTGCTTTTCACATTTTCTTAATATTTCTACATGCTAAAGGCTCAAGACTCCATTCTAGCTACCAAGAAACCCCTATCTGGATCAACTGAGCAGGGTTTCACCCCACACCCATATTATCAGTCTCCATTCTGTATCATCATTTCCCCACTGGGAATGTGGAACTAATGTACTAAACTAATCTATAATAACTAAAGGTGTTATGGCTAATGAAGACAAAATATGTTAACCTCTTTATATGTATACAGAATATTTTGAAACCCTTAGTCCAAAGAGTAACTAAGGTGGGAATTCTGGATATTCTGCAGCCAGTAACATGGATACTTTTATTCCCAGATGTAGGAGAAAGAGGCATAAACTACACTAACTTCAATAGAGGCATAAACTGCACTATGAAAATATTAACATCCAATTTACTTTCAAAGTTGAAAGGTTGTCTATATATGAGATTTAAAAGAGTAATAAATACGATTTTTCTATGCTTCAGCATGTTCATCATTTTCTTAGATTTTTCCTAATTAGATAAAAAGGAGAAGTTGTCTGGAATCATTTGCTCATTTGTTTACATTCACTGAAGGGCTCTCACAGTGTTAGTAACTCACAAGTAATGTCTTTCACCTTCTGAGGCTTAAATCACCTAATGAACTCACACAATAAATCAACAACATGAAGAGAGTGCACATTGTTGCAAGAAAACAACATTCATCAGTTAAAGATCAATTAAGTAGACTAATTACACTCTTTAGGTACAACAAAAGCAGAATAAAGGAAGAATAAGGAAGAAATTCTGTCCTAGCTGTGGACTGAAAAAGCCATGTCCTCACTGACTCCTCCACACAACATCTGAGAGATGCATAGGTCCTGAAGTCACAAGGCTGTAATGTGAGGACAAGGTGAGAGATTAGGGACCATTTCTTTTGTTGTCACACTTTGGCATTTTCCCCAACCTAAGATCCCTTGTAAGGGACCTCTAATTTTAGAAGGTGAAAAGTGTTGATTACTGTCTAAACTTTCTGGCTTCCTCATTATTAAGAAACAAAACCTTATATGACTCAAAATTAAAATAAATTTCATTTTTTTCTGAACCACTATAGCACTTTAACCTGCTTCAACCTTTCTTTGTTAAAGCTTACATTATGTTAATTTTATTTCAACTTATTGAATAACTGCATCAGAAAAGTTTAAGTAGATTTCAAAATAACAAAGGGCACAATTGTTATCAGATTGATAAAACTTTTCTTCTGTTCCAATTCTGTAAGAATTTTGATCAGAAATGAATGTTCCATTCTGTTAACTGCATATTCCTAATCTATTAAAATGGTTGTTATTTGTGCACTTCATTATATTAATATGATGTATTATATTAATTTATTTTTGGATGTTAAACCAACCTTGCATTCCTAGGACAAATCTCACTTTATCATCATATGTAATCTTTGTTACGTGTTTTGGATTTGGTAAGCTAATATTTTTCAGGATTATTTTACATCTACATTTATGGGAGCTACATTTATGTAGTTATCTTTGTCTGGTTTTGTTGTGATGCTGATAATTGTCTCATAGAGTGAGTTGAAGGATATTTCGACTTCCTACATTTTTGAAAGAGTTAATAAAATATTGGGATTATTGTTTGTTTAAATCTTTAATAAAATTCACATCTGGGTGTAAGTCTGTCTTTGTGAAAAGATTTTTAACTAGTAATTTTTTCATTTGTTACATTTTTATTCTAAATTCATATTTCATCTTCAGTGGGTCTTCTTGTTAATTTGTGACTTACTAAGGATTTGTCTATTTCATCTTAGTTGTGAAATGTGTTGACATAAAGTTTTTCATTGCATTCTCTTATAATCATTTTAATTCCTCAGGGGTCAGTGGTAATGTCCCTTCTCACATTCCTAGTTCCCAGCATCTGTGTCTTTCCTCTTTTTCTCATGGTTTATCTGTTTAAAGGTGTGTCAATTTTGCTTATCTTTTCAAAAAAACTAACTTTGATTTTATTTATTTCTCTGTATTATTCTATTTTAATGTAACAATTTTCTGTCCTTATCTTTATTACTTTCCTCCCATGAGCTTTGTCATTAGTTTTGTTAGTCTTTCTTTTTCTAGATTTTTAAGGTGATACATAATATTATTAACTTGATATCATTCTTCTCTTTTAATTTAGGCATTTAAATGTATAAAATTTCATCTAAGCATTTCAGCTGCACTCCAAAAATTTTTATATGTTGTGTTTTTATTTTTATGCAGCTCGAAATTTGAATTTCCCTTATAATTTATTACTTGACCAAGGAACTATTTAGAAATACATTGCTCATTCAATAAATGCAATACATCAGATTAACTATATGAAGCACAAAAACCATAATATAATTTCAATAGATGAGGAAAAAAGCATTTGACAAAATTCAATATTTTTACGATTAAAAACACTCAACAAATTAGATATAGAAAGAATGTACCTCAACACAATAAAGACCACATATGACAAACACATAGCTAACATCACAACAAGGAAAAGCTTTCTTTCTAAGATTCAGAACAAGACAAAGATGCCGACTTTCACCACTTCTATTCAACATTGCAGTGAAAGTCCTAACCAGAGCAATTAGATAAGAGAAAGAAATAAAAGTCATTCAAATTGGAAAGAAGTTAAATTGTCCCTGTTTAGAGACATAATCATATATTTAGAAACCCCTTAAAACTCCATGAAATAAATTTAGAACTAATAAACAAATTCAGTAAAGTTGCAGGATACAAAACCAACATACACTTCTTTCTCTCATTGACTGCTTCTGTAAAAAAGAACATGTGAGGAAGAGGCAGAGAAAGATGGCAGAATAGAAGGCTCCACTGATCATCCTCCCATGAGGACACCAATTTAACAACTATCTACACAGAAAATAAAACACACCTTCATAAGAACCAAAAATCAGGTGAGCACTCACAGTACTTGGTTTCAACTTTGTATCACTGAAAGAGGCACTCAAAAGGTAGACAAAAAGAGTCTTTAATCACTGATGCCACCCCTTTCCCATGCCCCTGGCAGTGGCAGCATGATGCTGAGACCATTTCTGTGCACTGGGATAGGGAGAGAGTAGGAACTGTGAGGCATTGAACTCAGTGCTGCACTTGTTATAGCAGAATGCAAGATTGAAACAAACTCAGATAATGCCTTCCCACACACGGAGCATTTAAACTAGCCCTAGCCAGAGGAGAATCACCAGTCTCAGAGGTCTGAACTTGAGGTCCCACAAGCCTTAGTACCGTGGGCCAAAGTTCTCTGGGGCTCTAAATAAACTTGAAAGGCAGTCTAGGCCACAAATACTGCAACTTTTAGGCAAGTCCTATTGCTGAACTGGGACCAGAGCCAGTAGACTGGGGTATAGGGTGGGATGGCACAATATAAAAAGACACAAGCTGGGGTGGCTAAGGGAGTGTTGGCATCACCCCTCCTCTAACTCCAGACAGCACAACTTGTGGCTCCAACAGAGACTCCTTCCTTTTGCTTGAGGAGAGGAGAAGAAAGGTAGGGAGGACTTTGTCTTGCATCTTGGATAGCAGCTCAGCCACAGCAGGATAGGGCATTTATCAGAATCACAAAACCCCTTTTCCAGGGCTTAGCTCCAAGATGATATTTCTAGACACACCATGGGCCAGAAGGGAACCTACTTCCTTGAAGGGAAGGAACCAGTCCTGGCAGCATTCATCACCTACTAACTGAAGAGACAGTTGGGCCCTGAAAAACCAGCAGTAATACCCAGGTACTATATCAAGGGATTTGGATGAGACTCTGAGACTTGCTGCCTTCAGGTGAGACTCAGCACATTTCCAGCTGTGACAGCTGTGGGGCAAGACTTCTTTTGCATGAGAAAAGCAGAGAGAAAAATAAAGGGGACTTTGTCTTGCGTATAGGTGCCAGCTCGGCCAGAGTTTGGTATGGCACCAAGTGGGCTCTTGAGGTCCCTAATTCCAGGATTTGGCTCTTGGACAGCATTTTTGGACCTGCCTTGGATCAGAAGGGAGCCGACTGCCCTGAAGTGTAAGACCCAGAATGGGCATCACTAATCACAGGCTAACTAAAGAGTCCTTGGGCCTTAATGGAACATCGGCTGTAGTCTAGCCATACTCCCCATGGGCCTGTGGAAATGGTGGCCACCAGGTGAGGTTCCTCTGCCTTTTAAAAGGGATGGGAAGAGTGGGAAGGACCGCATTTTGTGGTTGAAGTGCCAGCTCAGCTGCAGTACAAGAGAACAATGTAGAATTCTAAGGTTTTTGACTCTAGTCCATGGCTCCGGGACATCGCCTTGGGATTGCCTGGGTCCTGAGGTAGCTCGCTGCTCTGAAGGGAAGAACACAGGCCTAGATGGCTTTGCCACCTGCTGACATAGAGCCCCAGAGCCTTGAGCAAACATAGGCAGTAGCCAAGGAGTAGTTACAGCAGGCCTTGGGTGAGATTCAGTGCTCTGCTGGCTTCAGGTATGATCCAGCACAATCACAGTGTTGGTGGCCACAGAGGTTCTTGTGTCACTCCAACCCCAGCTTCAGATGGCTCAGAACAGAGAGAGAGAGAGAGAGAGAGAGAGAGAGAGACAGATCCCATATGTTTCAGAGAAAGTAAGATAAGAAAACAAGAGTCTCTGCCTGATAATACAGAGAATTCACCTGGATTTTATCCAAGACCATCAAGGTATATCTCTATGAGTCTGCAAGAACCACAGCATTACTGGGCTTGGAGTACTTCCTAAATCAGATGCAGCTCAGATTACCACACGCAAGTCCTTTAGAATAGCTGGAATATCTTCCAAAGAAGAAGAGACATAAACCAGCCCAAACTAAGGAGACTAAAATAAATACCACACTCTTCAATGTAGAGACCCAGACAAACATCTACAAGTGTAAAGACAATTCAGCAAAACTTGAGCTAAACAAATGAACTAAATGAGGCACCAGGAACCAGTCCTAAAAAACACGGAGATATATGACTTTTCAGAAGTGAATTCAAAATAGACTTTTTGAGGATACTGAAAGAAATTCAAGATAACACAAATAAGGAATTCAGAATTCTATCAGATAAATTTAATGAAGAAAATTAGAAAATTAAAAAGAATCAAGCAGAAATTCTGAAGCTCAAAAAATGCAACTGGCATACTGAAGAATACATCATAGTCTTTTAATAGCAGAATTGGTCAAGCAGAAGAAATAATTAGTGAGCTTGAAGACAGGCTATTTAAAAATATGCAGTCAGAGGATACAAAAGAGAAAAGAAGAAAAAAACAGTGAAGCACACCTACAGCATCCAGAAAATAGCCTCAAAAGGGAAATTCTGAGTTTTTGGTGTTAAGGCGAAAGTAGAGAAGGAAATAGGGGCAGAAAATGTTTTCGAAGGGATAGTAACAGAGAACTTCCAAAACCCAGAAAAAGAGACCAATACTGAAGTACAAGAAGATTATACAACACCAAGCAGATTTAACCCAAGGAAGACTTCCTTAAGGCATTTAATAATCAAACTCCAAAAGAAAAAGGATAAAGAAAGGATCCTAAAAGCAGCAAGAGAAAATAAGCAAACAACATAAAATGGAGATTTTATATGTCTGGCAGCAGTCATTCAGTGGTAAATTTACAGGCCAGCAGAGAGTGGCATGATGTAATTTAGGTGCAGAAAGAAAAAAAAACTTTTACCCTAGAATAGTATATCCGATGAAAATATTTTTCAAATTATTCTTGAAAATATTCTTCAAATGAAGGAGAAATAAAGACTTTCCCAGATAAACAAAAGCTGAGGAATTACGTGAATGCCAGGCATGAGCTACAAAAAAAAAAAAAAAAAAAAAAAAAAAATGCTAAAAGGAGTACTTCAATCAGAAAGATCAGAAAGTTAAAAAAAAAATGCTAAAAGGAGTACTTCTATCAGAAAGTAAAGGACATTAATGAGCAACAAATATTCACCTGAGAGTACAAAACTCACTGGTAATAGTAAGTGCCCAGGAAAACACAGAGCATTATAACGCTGTAGATGAGGTGTGTAAACTACTTTTATATTAACTAAGAATAGACGATGAAACAATGGAAAATAATGACTTCAACAACTTTTCAAGACATAGTCAGGACGATAAGGTATAAATAGAAACAACAAAAAGTTAAAAAGTGGGGGAATGAAGTAGTAGAATTTTTATTAGTTTTCTTTTTACTTGTTTGTTTGTTTATGCAAACTTAAATCTAAGACCTCAAACTATGAAACTACTATGAGACAACATTGGGGAAAATCTGCAGGACATTGGTCTGGGTAAAAATTTCTTGAGCAATACCGCACAAGCACAGGCAACAAATCAAAAATGAACAAATGGAATAACCTCAAGTTAAAAAGCTTCTGCACAGCAAAGGAAACAATCAACAAAGTAAAGAGACAACCCACAGAATGGGAGATAGTATTTGCAAACTACCCATTCTACAAGGAATTAATAACTGGAATATATAAGGACTCAATCAACTTTGAAGGAAAAAACTATAATTATACGACAAAAAAGTTGGCAAATGATTTGAACAGACATTTCTCAAAAGAAGATGTACAAATGGCAAATAGGGATATATAAATGTGGTCGCCATCACTGATCATCAGAGAAATGCAAAGAAAATCTACAATGAGACATCATCTCATCCCAGTTAAAAAGGTTTATATCTAAATGGCAGGCAGTAACAAATGGTGGCTAGGATGTGGAGAAAAGGGAGCCCCAAACACTGTTGGTGGGAATGTAAATAAATATAACTACCATGAAGAACAATTTGGAGGTTGCTTATAAAACTGAAAAATAGAGGTACTATACAATCCAGCAATCTCACTGCTAGGTATATACCCAAAAGAAGGTAAAGCAATTTATTGAATAGATATCTGAATTCCCATGTTTGCTGCAGCAGTGCTTACAATAGCCAAGATTTAGAAGCAATCTAAGTTTCCATCAACAGATGAATGGATAAAGAAAATGTGCTTCATGTAAACAATGGAGTACACTTTAGTCATAAACAATAATGAGATCTTATCATTTGCAGCAACATGGATAGAATTGGAGATCATTATATTAAGTGAAATAAGCCAGATACAGAAAGAGAAACATCATATGTTTTCATTTATTTGTGGGATTTAAAAATTAAAACAATTCAACTCATTGACCTAGTGAGTAGAAGGATGGTTACCAGAGTTTGGGAAGGGTCCTACTATTTGAAAGCACAAGGCGACCATAATCAATAATAATTTGATTGTATATTTTAAAATAACTAAAAGGATATAACTGGATTGTTTGTAACACAAAGGATAAATGCTTGAGAGGATGGATACCTCACTCTCCATGACGGGATTAGTATGCTTTGCATGCCTATATAAGACATCTCATGTTCCCCATATGTACACTATTATTTACCCACAGAACCAAAAAATTTTAAAAAATAAAAACAAAACACAAAATCAACATACAAAAATCAGTAGCATTTTTATCACACTAACAGTAAACTATCTGAGAAAAATTAAAAACAATCTCATTTACAATAGTTACAAAAATATAAAAATTTTAGGAGTTAATTTAACCAAAGAGGTGAAAGATCTCTAGACTGAAAACTATAAAGTATTTCATCACCCAGGTAATAAGCATGGTACCTGAGAGGTAGTTTTTCAATCCTCAGCCTGGGATATTTAATTCATCTATATAACAAGCCTGCCAATTTACCCCTAAAACTAAAATAAATGCTAAAAAAAAACTAAAGTGCTGAGAGAGTAGATAACTGTTCTCACCAGAAAAATGATAACTATGTGAGGTAATGCATATGTTAATTAGCTAAATTTAGTAATTCCACACTGTATATATGCTTCAAAATACCATGTTATATGTGATAAATACATAAAATTTTCTTTCAATTTGAAATAAAATAATAAAAAAGAAATATGTTGCTTAATTTCCAAATAGCTGTGGGTTTTCTAAATTGTGTTTTGCTTTTTGAGTTTTTATCATACTCCATTGTGGCTATAGAGTTACTTTGTATGATTTTGATCATTTAAATTTATCGATACTTATTTTATGACACAGTGTTTGGTCTATCCTGGAAAACATTCCATATTTGCTTGAGAAAAAAATCTATATATTCCTGTGTTGTTGGATGGAGTGGTTATTCAAAATACAACTCTGTGCTAACTTTCTGTTTAGTTTTTCTACCAATTATTGAGATAATGCATTGAAGTCTCCAAATATTATTGTTGATTTGTGTTTCTCTTTTCAATTTAGTTTCTGTTTGTATTTGGGGAATCTATTACTATGTGATATGATCTATATATGTTCCTGCTGAGATGATCCTTCTATTATTATTAAATATCCCATTCCTTCTATGGAATTCCCATTATGGATATGTTAGTACACTTCATGGTATCTCACAGGTATTTTAGGCTTTGCTCATTTCTATTCATTCTTTTGTTGTTCCTCAAAAAAATAAATAAGGCCGGGCGCGGTGGCTCACGCCTGTAATCCCAGCACTTTGGGAGGCCGAGGCGGGTGGATCATGAGGTCAGGAGATCGAGACCATCCTGGCTAACAAGGTGAAACCCCGTCTCTACTAAAAATACAAAAAATTAGCCGGGCGCGGTGGTGGGCGCCTGTAGTCCCAGCTACTCGGGAGGCTGAGGCAGGAGAATGGCGTGAACCCGGGAAGCGGAGCTTGCAGTGAGCCGAGATTGCGCCACTGCAGTCCGCAGTCCGGCCTGGGCGACAGAGCGAGACTCCGTCTCAAAAAAAAAAAATAAATAAATAAATAAAAAGATAAACTCAACTTATTTTTAGGTCTGCTAATTCTTTTTTTACCAGTACAAATCTGCTCTTGAGCCTATCTAGTGGGTTTTTTAAAATTTATTTATTTATTTCAGTAACTGTACTTTGCAACTCTAGAATTTCTCTTTGGTTCTTTTTTAAAGCTTCTGTCTGTTTATTGATCGCTAGTAGGTGTGATGTTATCCTCATACTTTTCTTTAATTCAATGAAAATGGCTTCCTTTACTTCCTTAAACACATTGTAATATCTGATTTAATGTCCTTGTTTAGTAAGTTCAAAATCTGAGCTTCCAAAAGGACAGTTTCTATTGACTATTGGTTATTTTTCTGTGTATGAGCTATATCATTTCTTGTTTTTTTTTCTGACTCATAAGGTTTTCTTTCTTGAAAACTGGATGTTTAAAATATGATGTGGCAATATAATGCAGCAACTAGAAAAATTATAACACAGCCACCAAATTAGTTGTTATTGCTCTTTCTTATTCTTTTTGTTATTGCTGCTGTTTTTTTAGTGACTTCTTGGAATAATTCTATAAAGCCTGTATTCTTTATTGTATGTGTCCACTGAAGTCTCTGCTTGGTTAGTTTAGTGATCAGATAATGACTAAACATTTTCTTTAGGGAAAAAGCTACTCATCCCCCAGTTTCTGCATCATACACTTACATATTATATTTTTTATTTAGCCTCATTAGTATTCATCCTGAATGTTTTGTACTTTTTGTCCAAAAGATACCTAATGACATTTACACATGTCAATTTACCATTTTATTATCTTTTAAGTGTTTGGTGAGAAAGATTCTTTATGATTTCATGTTCCTCTGGTAGAAAAGACTGCCAAGTGCATATTGACCCTTTTGGAAGAACAAAAACATTCGAAGATGGAATCAAGACATACATGTCGAGCAGTTTTTTAAGTGAATGATGAGCTTTATTTAGCCCCTTGGGAGGAATTACCAATTAGTCATTGTACTGATGTTAGCCATCTGTAAGTCATGGAAGAAGCTGAAATATTCCTTTAAAATGTACACAAGTCTATGTACTATTTCAATGAAGACAACAATGGCACTGAATCTTGCAAAATTTATTGGCATAAAGAAGTGAACTTGCTCCTTTGCCACTAAGCAACTCACCAAACTTAACAAAAGATGTATATTCTTTGAAAAGTTGAGGAATTATGGGAATCACAATCTGATAGGATTCACTTGCCTAGAATATACAAACCCTAGGATGGGATTCATAGCTTAGGTTTATTATTAACACTCTATAATTTGCCTATGAATTTCTAGCATTCACTACCTTTGGAGTTTTTGTTTACATGTCTACATTCCTCATTATGAGTCTTTTCTTTAAAAAGTGAATGTGCCATCTTTTTTTATCCACAATGCATAGCGAAATATACATTACACAAAAGTAACCAATTAATAGTTTTAAAAAGTAAACAGAATCGTTATTTGATATGGTTTTGCTCTATGTCCCCACACAAATCTTATCTCAGATTGTAATCCCCATGTGTCTAAAGATGAACTGTAATCCCCATGTGTCAAGGGAAGGAAGTGATTGGATCATGGTGGCAGTTTCCCCCATGCTGTTCTTGTGATACTGAGTGAATTTTCATTAGATATGATGGTTTTATAAATGGTAGTTTTTCCTGCACTCACACATGCTCTGTCTTGCCTGCTGACATGTAAGATGTGCCTACTTCCCCTTCCACCATGATTGTTAATTTCCTGAGGCCTCCTCAGCCATGAGGAACTGTCAGTCAATTAAACCTCTTTTATTTATAAATTACCATATCTCAGGCAGTTCTTTATAGCAGTGTGAAAAGGAACTAATAGAGTAAATTGGTACCGAGGGTGGGGTACTGCTATAAAGATACCAGAGAATGTGGAAATGACTTTGGAAATGGGTATCAGAAAGAGGTTGGAACAGTTTGGAAAATTTTCTGCCTGGTGATAAGATAGAAAATAAAAACCAATTTTCTGGAGAGAAATTCAGGCTGGCTGAAGAAATGTGTATAAGTAATGAGGAGCCAAATGTTAATCACAAGGGGGAAAATGTCTCCAGGGTATGTCACAGACCTTCACAACAGCCCCTCCCATCACAGACCCAGAGGCCTAGGAGGGGAAATGGTTTTGTGGGCTAGGCCCAGGGCCCCCATGCTCTGTGTATTCTCAAAACTTGTTGCCCTGTGTCCAGCTGCTACACCTCCAGCCGTAACTAAAAGGAGCCAAGGTACAGCTTGGGCTGTTGCTTCAAAGGGTGCAAGCCCCAAGCCTTGGCAGCATCTACATGGTGTTGGGGCTGTGGTTGCACAGAAGACAGGAATTGAGGTTTGAGAACCTTGGTCTAGATTTCAGAGGATGTATGGAAATGCCTAGATATCCACCCCAAAGTCTGCTGCAGGAGTGAAGACCTCATGGAGAACTTCTGCTAGGGCAGTGCAAAGGGGAAATGTTGGTTTGGAGACCCCACTCAGAGTCCCCACTGGGGCATAGTTTAGAGGAGCTGTTAGAAGAAAGTCACCATCCTCTAGACCCCAGAATGATAAATCCACCAATAGCTTGCACTGTGTGCCTGGAAAAGCCACAGACACTCAACACCAGCTGTGAAAGCAGCCACAGTGAGGGGATGGGGGTTATACCCTGCAAAGCCACAGGGGAAGAGCTGCCCAAGGCCATGGGAGCCCATCCTCTGCATCAGTGTGACTTGAATGTGAGACATGGAATCAAAGGAGATTATTTTGGAGCCTTAACATTTAATGACTGCCCTACTGGATTTGGGACTTGCATAAGACCTGTAACCCCTTTTTTGGCTCATTTCTCCTATTTGGAATGGGAGCTTTTATCCAATGCCTGTACCCCCACTGTGTCTTGAAAATAATTAACTTGCTTTTAGTTTTTCAGGCTTCTAGGGGGAAGGGCTTGCCTTGTCTCAGATGAGACTTTGAACTTGGACTTTTGGGTTGGTGTTGGAATAAGTTTAGACTTTGGAAGACTGTTGGGAAGGCATAATTGGTTTTAAAATGTGAACAGACATAAGATTTGTGGGTGGGCAGGGGCAGAAGAGTATTGTTTGACTCTCTGTCCCCACCCAAATCTCATCTCAGATTATAATCCCCATGTGTAAAGGGAGGGACTGGAATCCCCATGGATTGAGGGAGGGAAGTGTTTGGATTATGGGGACAGTTTCTCCCATGCTGTTCCCTTGATAATGAGTAAATTCTCATGAAATCTGATGGTCTTATAAATGGTAGTTTTCCCTGCACTCACATATGCTCTCTCTCTCCTGTTGCTATGTAAGATTTGACTGCTTCCTCTTCCATTGTGATTGTAAGTTTCCTGAGGCCTCCCCAGTAATGAGGAACTGTGAGTCAATTAAACCTCTTTTATTTATATTTTTACCCAGTCCGGGGCAGTTCTTTACACTAGTGTAAAAGTGAAATAATACAGTTTCCATGAATAAAATGTTTAACAAAAGCTAAACACCAGGATACTGAATGAAGAAGAAAGACTTATTGAGTGCTTACTAAGTACTAGACACTGTTCTATACACTTTACATAGACTTATTTATTTAATCCTTTTAGAAAGCAAACAAACAGATGACTAGGAAATAGACAATTTACATTTCAAAGTACTGAATAAGGGAGAAGCTAAATATCTTGCTCACAGTTCCCACAGTAGGTAATGGGTAAAGGATTAAATAAAAGGCAATTACATTAAGTATAGCAGTGGATCATTCACTTAAAAAAGTAAAATTCTATGGTAAGCTTCTTTATTGATTAAGGCCCAGACCAATAATTTATAAATAGCCCTTTCTGTAGCCTTGGACACCCTTCAAATGTATGCTGTGGAGGCTGCAGAGGAGTATAATCTAGCAACCATTTGCCTGGTTCAGGTGATGGTATCCTAGAAAAATAATTAATGACAATGGTAATGCATATATGATTCTAGAAAAAAATTAACTGGTTCTAATATTCACTTGAATAAAATATCTCCCACACCATATGGGAAAAGCCTCATGAATCTCAATCACTGGCTTTACTGGATAATTTGATAACTTTATTAATTCTTTTGAATTTGACATAGAAAACTTCTAAGTGGAATAAAAATCATGCCATGATTACATAAGGAAAAGAAGAAAGGGAAGTAATTACTGTAATAGCTGCCTGACTATTGTCCCTGTTGCCACTCTGTTTCCCTATAATCCATTCTCTACAGAATTCTTAGCTGCTTCTCTCTCTCTCTCATCTTCCTACCACACCCTACCTTACTCACTGTACTCCATCTACTCTGGCATCACTGTTGTTCCTTAAGCACATTAGGACATGGCCTGAAAGGAGTACATCAAGTTTTGCTGCTGGAAACAGAACCATTTACAAGGAGAACATATGGTCAGTTACAAGACAGCTTTGATCCAAAATTAATAGTAATCAAATGGTAAATACCAAGTACTATTATAATTATTATCATTGTTATTTTAAAATATTAAATGCAATAAAATATTTTATCTGGCACAAATCATATTGTCTGGTATATACCATATTACCTGATACAAATTAAATGATTTCATTTGATTATTAAAATAATCCTGTAAGGTAGTTACACATTTTCCGAATTTTAGGTAAGGAAACAGGTACAAAGATTATGATTGGCCTACAAAGTTGGATCTGAAACCAAGAAAAGTTGGATGTGACAAACCTGTGCTAAAGCCACATCTAAAACAGTAATAAATGGTAGATATCTAGGTAATATCCAGTTGAAGTATTTCTTATTGCTCTGGCATACTAGTTGAGCATTTGGGTTCTAAAGTAAAATTACCTGATTCACATACTGTCTTAACCACCTACAATTGTTATAAGCATAGACAATTTACTTAATATCTTTGAGCCCTAGTCTCCTCATTTGTAAAATGATGAAGTGTGAGTATTTGCTTTATCAGGTTAACATTGTAATTATACTATCATTAAAATGTCCATACTGTCCAAAGCAATGTATAGATTCAATGCTAATCTGATCAAAGTACCAATAACGTGCTTCATAGAACTAGGAAAAAACTATTTTTAAATTCACATGGAGCCAAAAAAGAGCCTGAATAGCAGGGCAATCTTAAACAGAAAGAACAAAGCTGGATGTATAACACTATAGGACTTCAAATGATACTACAGGGTTACAGTAATTAAAACAGCATGATACTAGTACAAAAACAGACACAGAAACAAATGAAACAGAAGAGAGAGCACACAAATAAAGCCACACACCTGCAGCCATCTGATCTTTGACAAAGCTGACAAAAACAAGAAATGGGAAAAGAACTCCCTGTACAATAAATTGTGCTGGGATAACAGGCTAGCTGTATGCAGAAGATTCAAACAGCAAACCTCCCTTACACCATATACAAAAATCAACTCACGATGGATTAAAGACTTAAATGTAAAACCCCAAACTGAAAACCCTGAAAGACAACCTAAGCAATACCATTCTGGAAATAGGACCTGGCAAAGATTTCATGACGAAGATGCCAAAAGCAGTTGCAACAAAAGCAAACATTGGTAAGTGGGATCTAATTAAAGAGCTTTGTCACAGCAACAGTAACTATTAAAAGTAAACAACCTACAGAATAGGAGAATTTTTTTGCAAACTATGCATCTGACAAAGGTCTAATATCCAGCATCTATTAGGAACTTAAACAAATCTACAATAAAATAAATAAAACATACAACCCTATAAAAAAGTGGGCAAAGGACATGAACAGACACTTTTCAAAAGAAGACATACGTGTGGCCAAAAAGCATATGAAAAGAAGTTCAACATCACTGATCATTACAGAAATTTAAATCAAAACAACAGTGTGATATTTTCTCACACCAGTCAAAATGGCTGTTATTTAAAAGTCTAAAACTAATAGGTGCTGGCAAAGTTGTAGAGAAAAGAGAACACTTATGCACTGTTGGCAGGAGTGTAAATTAGTTCAACCATTGTGCAAAACAGTTTGGCAATACATCAAAGACCTAAAGAAAGAACTACCATTATCATAATCTTACTGCTGGGTATATACCCAAAAGAATATAAATCATTCTATCATAAAGACACATGCTGCATATGTTCATTCTATCACTATTCACAATAGCAAAAGCATGGACTCAACCTAAATGCTCATCAGTTGTAGAATGGATAAAGGAAATGTGGTAAGTACACACCATAGAATACTATGCAGCCATAAAAAATAATTAGATTATATTCTTTGTAGGAACATGAATGAAACTGGAGGCCATTATCCTTTGCAAACTAATGCAAGCACAGGAAACCAAATACCACATACTGTCACTTATAAGTGGGAGCTAAATGATGAGAACACATAGACACATAGAGGGGAACAACAGACACTGTGGCCTGCCAGAGAGTGAAAGGTGGAAGGAGGGAGAGGATCAGGAAAAATAGCTAAGCAGTCCTAGGCTTAATGCATAGGTGACAAAATAATCTATACAACAAACACCCATGATATGAGTTTACTATATAACAAACCTGCACATGTACCCTTGAAGTTAAAATAAAAGTTGAAAAAAGATTGTAATTATATATGGAAAAAAGCCTAGTATAGAGCCAGGCACATAGAAAGTGTTCTGGGAAGGTTAACTATTAAACATTATAAATGAGAAATACACAAATCCCAAGTACTATGACTTTAAAAGCAATTATATTTCCAGGCATATTTTCTAGGTTAGAATCATAACAGGTTGACTTTGCACACAAAACTGACACACTTGGCCCACCCAAAGTAAAACATGTGCTTTGAATATTTTTTCTCCAATAGTAGCAATGTGTTTGCAGGAAACCACCTTCATTGCCACATCTAGTCTTCTAAATAAGGTCTTACTTTATCACGTGACCAGCCAGGATCAAGAGGGCCTACCTGCCTCTTCAAACCCTTGACCTCCTGAATAAAATATTTGTGCATTATCTTAATGAGCTATGGGTATAAATAAACAAAAACATAGCCCGTCAAATTGACTTAGCCTGTCTGTTTTCAGAGCCATTCCAAAACTTGGGCTGAGAAACTGCAAAAGGAGAGGGCACAAACTGGTAAGAGGCTGACAAGTAACATGTCTGTATAGAAATTTTGTTACTGACTAAAGCATGCCTGTGGCTTAATGGAAGAAAAGGAATGGAAATTAGATTGAGAACATACTATATGTCAAATACTTTGCTATGTGCTTTCATACATACAATCTCACTTATACTCCCAACAACCCAATAGTATAGGTGTTATCACTCAACTCCACTTCCATTTTAGATTACAAAAAAAGTATTGGTCCAAATAGGTTAAATGACTGTTCTAAAGTTAGACAGTTAATACATGGTAGAGCCTATATTTGAACCCTCTGAAACTCTTACTCTTTCTGCTTCCAAGGGGGGTTGGGGCCTGGGAAAATTAACATTAATAGTAGGGGTCATATTTATCTAACGTGTAGATTGGTTTTTTGATCCCAACACTTAGAATAGGACATTAAAAGTGGTATAATGCATTTCAAGAAGCATAGTTGTGTTCTACCCTTTCAATCTCCTCTCTCACAATTTCCCTATATATGTTGTATGTACCAACAAAACCATCCTCTTTTCCAATTTTGAAGTTTTCCTACCTCTGAGTATGTTTGATTTTTAAAAGAGGCTGCTAAGAAAATGAAAAGGCAAGCCATAGACAGGAAGAAAATATTTTTATGACATATATTAGACAAAGGACTTCTATCTAGAATATAAAAAGAGCTGCCATAAATCAATAATGAAAAGAAAAACAACATAAAACAGCCAGTGCCAAAATTCTAAGGTGGGAGCATGCCTAGTATGTTCAAAGAGCCTACCGTGGCAAGAGTAAAGTGACTGAGGGATAGAATAACAGAATAGAAATTAGAAAAAAAGAGTAGATCATATAAGGGCTTATAAATCCTATTAAAGAAGTTAGCTTTTACTCTGAGTGAGATGGGAAGACACTAGAGCAGAGGTTCTTCACCCGGATAATATTTTTTGAGAGACAATTTAATATTTAAACTGTATTAGGAATTTTTACATTTAAACTTATATATTCTCAGAAGCAAACTTAAAGGGAGTACTTACGACCTTCTTTTGGAATAAGATGAAAGCTCAGAAGACCTGAGGAATATTCTCACCATTGGGCAACCAGTAAGCAGCCAAGCAGGATCAGAATTCAGAGCTGCTGTGGGGTTTCCATCACCACTCTCTCGATCCATCACATTGCAAGATTTCCTCCCTGAGAGTATTTGAATAAAATTCAGGAGGCCTGTGAACCTTGGCAAAAAAACAATTACATCTTTATTTTCACTAACTGCTAACTTAAATTTTGCATTTTCTTCTATTACAAATGTAGCAATAAATCTCAGTAGTATTAACAGTACCTGTAATTTTGTCATCAAGAAAAATCACAAATAGTTTCATATCATATTTTATACAGTTTTTATAGACATCTCCACATATTATTCACACTTATTACTGCTTAAAATTATGGTAGTTATTAGACTTGCCTCTAAATCTTGTTAATTAATGTATTCATTAAGAAACACATATATTAACTAAGAAATCTATGTAGATATTTATTGCCTCCAGTATGTTGTTTGTTCTAACCCAAATCACCCTTTCCAACCCATTTCTGAACCCATGAAATTTGTCCAGCCCAGAGTGGGTGGATCATGAGACCCTACCCTCATCATGCTTTCTCAACTCATTCTTGTATACACACCTGTTCCCTTTTCTTCTTTGTTTCCTCTCTCAACTCTCTTTCAGCACACCCTATATTATTTTCAACATTCTTTTACTTCTAAGGAGAAAAGATAACATTATAAATTTATTTTTAAAAATATGTTGGCTACTGTATTTCAAAATCTTTGGTTATTTTGAATTTTTAATTGTATGCATTTTAAAATATCCTGAGGAGGGATCAAGGAGTTTCACTAGACTACCAAAAGGCTTCATGATATAAAAAAGGTTAAGAACCCTTGAACTAGACAGTTCAGAGCACAGCAATAATATAATTTACATTTTTGAAGTATCACTCTGGCCACTGTGTTGAGAATAAACTACTCGGGGCAGGGGTGGGGGGTGAAGAGAAAAATGTAGACCACTTTGTGGTTTATTGACGTCATCCAGAGAATAGATTATGGTGGCTCCGACTAGAATTGCAGCAGAGTAAGAGATGAAAGTGGTCAGATTCTTGATATATTCTGATGATATAGCCAACAGGCTTACCCGATGGATTGGGATGTGGGCTATGAGAGAAACCAAAAGAATATGTCAAAAATAACTTCAAAGTGTTTCTGCAAATCTTACCATCTCCCACAGATTAGTATTTTAAAAACAAAGCTGGAAATTCTCAGACAACTCCATGCCACATACTTCCCCAGAGATAGGGAAATTAAATATGAGGACAGCAAAGGGGATTAAATTAATATTGCAAAGTAATATCCAGCCATGCCTATTTTGGCATTTTATTCCCTTCAGAAATTGTTATCTAAAGGTAAACAACAACAAGCTACTGTGACAATAAAAAATAATTTACAAATCTGCTCCTCAGAGCTACAAAATGTCCATGCTGTGTCCTGAAATCAATTAGTCAGGGAATCAAAATTTGAAGGAGAAATAAGTACCGGGAAGAAATTGTTTTAATCAATGAATATAGTGTACTTAATATGTGGTCTACTTAGGTGTTGGATCAGTTCAAATTTAGGTTTAAAGCAGTAAGATCATCCAGATTTTTCTATAAAATGACACTGAGATAAATGCTCTTGTCAGAAAAATAATTCTGGCCTTGATAAAACATTGTACTAACAATTTCCATATCTAGCATATCTATTATTAACAAGGGATAAGAAAAGTTTTGTTGTGGTTGTGTTGCTTTTTTAATGGGGAAGGGAGGGTACAGGAAGGTGACAGAAATGTTATTTATATCAAAAAAATTAAATCTAATGAAATTCAAAACAATTTCAAATGGTAAGTGTGTTTTCTAACCAACTATTGAAAAAATATTATTCATCTCAATGAAGTATTTAATGATCAATAAGCCATTTAATTTCTAACCTCTCTACTTTATAAATACAGAATACTTGACTTTTATAAGAAGCTTTGGAATAATCGAGAATATATAATCAAATAATTATTTCATTCAGAAGAATAGTAAGGCAAACAATGATTCATTCTTCTGTTATTCTCACCATCATCGTTTCCTGGGCTCATTTTCATCAATAATATTATATTTTCTGAAGGATAATCCCCAAATGGGATAAATTGAGATAGAGCTGCCTGGAGATATTTATTTTTAGATTTGGGATACTTTCATATGGCCATGGTTCCCAGAGAGGGCAATCAAGACTTACTGTGGGTGAGTGTTTGCTGAGAACTTGATACCTTTGGTAGTATTTGCTTTTTAACTTAGTCTGACTGCTACTTCCAGGCCTCTTGAAACTTGCTAGTAGAAAATAACTTCAAATTTATGAGTGATATGTTTCAAGAGTTCAGTCAATGTAATTGGCCTTAAACCATCCACTTCTGTCAATCCCAATCTTTTAAGATTACAGACATCAATAGCTAGCATGGGAGAACTGAGTTAGCTTCAGTGATAGGTGGATTCTTATCTTGTTTTGGATTCCATTTGTGGGTTCTATTAACTTGTAAAATAAACTTACCACACCACCAGCATTGTCAAGTCTGAATTCATGTACTCATGGAGGGGGCAATAGACATTACTCTCTTCTCCCAACACTTCCAGCGCACTTAGAGGCTAAACCACCTACAAGCAAGTATTATTATGGACTGTTTTTATTCGTACTTTAATAGTTTTACTGTATGTCTCACCTTTCCCAAGGGCACTGTAAGTAATTAAAAGGCAAATATGTCTGAAATACAAGTTATTCCTACCCACCTCCTCCACAAGAGAAATATTCCATCTTTTCCAGTATGACCCATTTCAAAAACCACCTTTGTAGTTTTAAAAGCTTAAACTTTGCCTCCTAAATATCTCTCTAATGTGTGCACTTCTCTCCTCCACTGCCAGTGCATTAAAACTGCCATCATCTCTCACATGGACTACTGCAGTAGTATGTTTTATTTTCCTGCTTTCATTTTAGCACCCACCTGTCAACTCTCTACACATAAACCAAAGTTACATCACCTCACCAATTTCTATTTAAAACCCCTTAAAGGGCCACCTTTGTACCATATCTTCCTCTCTTACCTCATTTCCCGTGTCTTCCTCACAGCCTTTGCACTCCCTCCACAGTAGATTTTCACTTTCTCAAAACTGCCATTTTTCATCTTGATACAGCCCCTTTCTCTACTTACCACATTCTTAACCTTTCATCTTCAACTCTACCATCTACTTTCCCTCAGATGTCATCTGAAAGAAGAGAGCTCTTACTTCCCAGACCACATAAAATTATCCTCTTAAATATTTTCATAGTACTGTAGACCTCTCTACCAGCTGGAATATGACAGTTATTTATGTGATTATTTGATTAATGTATGTTTCCTTGCTGCTACCAACAATGTTTAAGCTCTGTGAGAGAAAATCAAGAACTGGTTTTGCTAACACATTGCCTTGCATATAATAAGTGCTCAATAAATATATGTCAAATGAATGAACAAATAAATGGTTTTATCTTTATTTTCATAGTTTTCAGCATTGCCTAGCACAATGCTAAAAACACATTAAAGACATTATCAATTCTTTTTGCTTCATGGGTTGATATTGGACATCAGGTTTAACGACAACAACAAAAATTGACCAGAGTCTCCACATTTACTATTCAACTAACTGGGATCCTCAGTTGGAGGCCCTAAGTAAAAAAAAAAAAAAAAAAAAAAAAGGGAGAGATTCAGGAGAACACAGTGTCTGATTTCTTTAAAATGCAGAAGGATTGATGAAAATATAGAAAAATAGAAACATTATATCAAATGCAGTGGATGTCCTTTTACACAAAGGAATTGAAAAGTGGAATAGTCTGATTTAATATAATCTTGGTTAGCAGTGAGTCTGCTACCTGAACTCAGTTATCATACCTGAACTCCCAATTTTCAATGGCATAGAATAAGAGAAATAAAACAAACAAAAAAATGCAATGCTAAAACTATGCTGAGCCTACCAACATTTTATTTTGAAGATTTAGAATGTACTTTAAGATCTTACAGTGCCCCAGAATCATCACTGTAAACACATTATCACTGCCTTTCAGACTGTCTATAAAGAGCTGTTTAATGAAATATTCCAGTTAGAAGAGCATATCTTAATGTTTTCCCATAGCAGTAGGTCTACTTATGACTGGAAGGAAGGATCTGCAGGTGATCTTCATTCATATACATGCATGGTCCCTCAGTAGCGGGTGTCAAAACAGAATATAACCGGATGTGAATTTGTACAAATTTATATTTGCTTTTAGCATAAGCATCAAAACCCTCCAGAAGTCTGGTTTGCCTATGGATATTCCATTACAAGTTGTCAAACCCTAGCGGCCGGGCATTGTGGGAAGTCTTTTAATGTCTGTCTCATATTCTGTATAGTACTGAGGAGTCAGTCCCCACATTTCACATTTACTACTATAAAGTAAATCATATAAAATATGGGAATTGAACAATGAGAACACATGGACACAGGATGGGGAACATCACACTCCGGGGCCTGTTGTGGGGTGAGAGGAGGGGGGAGGGATAGCACTAGGAGATATACCTAATGTTAAATGATGAGCTGATGGGTGCAGCACACCAACATGGCACATGTATACATATGTAACTAACCTGCAAGTTGTGCACATGTACCCTAAAACTTAAAATATAATAATAATAAAAAATATGATTTAGTTTAGTAGTCATTTCCAGTCCTGCTAATAGAGAATGTGAAATGTATCAACTGAGTTATGGATATAAACCCTATTATACAGACAGTTTTCAGTAAATGGGGCCAGTGTTTTAGCAACTCAACTATGACTGCTTAATGAAATGTTCAGATTCAAATGAGTTGAGAAATTCATTTTGTTCCATTACACAATTGGTCCTTAAAGAGTTAAAGAGTTCATCAAAAAGTCACAGTGATCTATCTACCTGATTTTTCTTTTTGACTCTTCCTGACCGTGTGCCTCTAAATCTTAGCAAGTCCACATTTTTTTTTTTTTTTTGAGATGGAGTCTCACTCTGTTGCCCAGGCTGGAGTGCAGTGGCGCAATCTCAGCTCACAGCAACCTCCACTTCCGGGTTCAAGCGATTCTCTTACCTCAGCTGGGACTCCAGGCATGCACCACCATGCCTGGTTAATTTTTGTATTTTTAGTAGAGACGGGAGTCTCACTATGTTGGCCAAGCGGGTCTCGAACTCCTGACTCAAATAATTCACCTTCCTCAGTCTCCCAAAGTGCTGGGATTACAGGCGTAAGCCACCGTGACTGGCCCAGCAAGTCCACATTTTGAGCTAAGCCCATATCATGTGTTGTGGTCACAAATCCCAGAACCCAAAAAATGTTTCCCTATTGTGCCAATATCTCCCAACCCATTCTCTCATCTGACCAAATGGTGGTCTCAAAAAGAACAGTGATGAGGTGCGGGATTGATATTGGGCTATCAGAGTGGAGAGAGGCATAAAGGAGTTAGATTAGAGCCAGAGAGTAAGAGTAGTATTGGCAACGAATGGTAACAAGAGTAATTATCTTTATTTCTAGGGAAGTAACACATCCAAGATTTCCACATAAAATGCACTGAATCGTTTGGCTAATAACCTCTAATAACCACAGAGACTGCTAATAACAGTCTCTGTGTCTGTCTGTCTCTCTGTCTCTCTCTCTCTCTCTCTCTCTCTCACACGTACACACACACACACACACACACACACACACACACCCTGCTGAAGTAACCTATTAGCTTTTTGTGACCCTGTAGATTCATGAATAATCTATATTCCTTTTTCTGTAATGGTTACAATAGCTTCTGATATATTGGGTTTGATAATATCAGAATTACGATCTTTGAATTCCCAAACGGGAATTATCACTTTGTTCTTTAGAGCATGCTAAAAGCTGTGAGAAAGATTTTTGGCCTTATTCATAATGCCACTATTTTTTAAAGTGTAGTAAAAGGAAGTCATACATTAGAGACACCTAGAAGCTTGTTAAAATTCAGATTAGTGAGCTCTACTCCATGTTATGAATCAAATTTTGTGGGGTGGGGCCTAGGCATCTACATATTATAAATCTATTTAGGTGACACTGATGCATAATAAAACTTAAGTACCTCTTCTTGACAATGGTAAGAAAGGAATTAGAAGGTTTCCACCCAGATTTTGGCTTTAATATGAATAATAAATTAGAATGAGGAGAAACTGGAATCATAGAGACTAGTTAATATGCTATTTCAATAATCTAAGTAGGAGATAATAAGGGTATGAGTATTTTAGGGGCAAAATTAGCAAACTTTTATAATGCAATTTGACCATGATTCAAGTTTCCATATAAATAAGATATTGTGTTATTTCAAATTATTGAAAAACAGGAGGCAAATTTAATTACATAAAATAAAAATATTTTATTGCTAATATATCAAAAGTTAATATCCAAAGCTACTTTTGAAATTTTTGTTTTTCATTTTTTATTTCAAATAATGCAGAAAAGCAACCATCAAATAAAAAAATACTGAAACATATTATGGAGGCTTCATGGAGTACCTTTTCAAAATTTGCTCTCACACCATATAAATGTAAACTATCAGAATTAAAACACTATCTCTATAAAGCAGAATTGGGAAAATATTTTTAAATTAAATCCTCCTTAAGTCATGCATCATTTAAGTATAATAACAATTGCACTTAAAGTACAATAACAGATCAAATTCAAAATACTTAAAGTAGAAGATCTTAATCTCACCCTTCTACAATCTACTATATTAATTATAAGACTGGTTCCACAGATGGCCAATAAAAGGAGAGCAGGACATAATTAAAATGTCCACAATCTCCATTACTACTACCAGTCTTGAGTTATACAGATCACCGGAGACATTTTAAATAGACTATGGTTAATATCTACCCTTAAAATACCTTACAGATGACACTATAGTTCTAGTCATTCTAAAGACAGTTTTTAAAACTAGATTACTACCTTAGTGGACTTGCTAAAATCTCCTTAAGTTTTAACACCCGAGTGATAAAATAAGCTGTACAACAAACCCTTTTGTCACAAGTTTACCTGTATAACAAACCTCTACATGTACCTCGAACCTAAAATAAAAGTTTAAAAAAGTACTCACATTAATTTTTAGTTATATAAAGTAAAAAATACAAACATTATTTTAAAGAAGGATCAGTGGACTTTCTTAGAGAAAAACTCATGGATTATTACAGATATGTAAATCTCTTCTATTAATCCTAGTTTCTTGTATTTTACATACCTTATAGAAAGAGGGGCAGTAAAGTAGAAAATAACTGCTGCTTATGACAAAACCACTGTAGTACTAGATTTCAAGTGGTAGTACCGAAATCCATTAAAGAATATTCTTTATTTGCCTCCAATTCCATTTCCCTGAAAAAAGTGGCCTTCCTGAGAACCCACCGTGGCAGTGATAAACGTTGCCCCTTCCCCTCCAAGACTGAGAATCTCTCTTCCAAATCCTAGTCTTTGACTACGGCTTTGGTACCTACTGATTGCCATCCTTGATGCCATATTTCTGCCTGCTTATTTGGTTCTCCAAATGTCACCTGTTCCTGACTTTCCCACTGCTATGGTCAGATAACCTGTCAAAATAAGTTGTTCTTCCATGTTGTGTCTTCTTGTTCCAATTGCTATAGTAGACTCTTCCTCCTTAAACAAGTTGTGCCAGGAATCTGGACCTTCTCTGAATAATTATTTCCTCTAAATTATAAAATAATGGAAATTACATCAGCGAAGCCTGTATTAACTGAATAAACATTATGCTGATTTAAAATCAATAAGCAAAAAAAGAATTTTTTTCTAAATAGGAATTGCAAGTTTGAGACACATAATAATAATAATAATAATAATAATTAAAGTTCTGATTAATTTCCCTATTCAACTCATAAAGAATCCTATGATGTAGGTACTCTTATTCAAAAATTATAGAAGAGAAAATAAGACATAGTGTTTAGTTATTATAAGGTGACAAAACTAGGAAACAGTCTGATTTTAGCGTCTATATTCTTCTAGTCAACCCCATTCCATTGTGGTAACTAAAGCATAACAATCATTGTCAAAGATGTGATGGACAGTTGTTAAATCTAAAGTGTACATTTTAATATCTACAGGCATTCCTAACCTGAATTACACATACATATATGCACAAACACATGCACATGCACACACTCCTCCGAGTTCTTCAGCTTAAAGGACTAATCAGAGCATTCAGCCTTTGTTCCATCATGGAAATTGGGACCTCACTGCTTTTTAGCTGCACATTTTACATGAAGAGTTCAATCTAAGTCTCCATTTCTGGAGAAACAATAAATGACTTGGCTAAATAGCAAATGTGTCTCAAGAATAAATGTTCATTACTCTACAGGAAATTCAACTGTATAACTGCCACGAATTAAAAAGATGCCTAAACGGATCGAACCCATATACAAACAAGTATATCGGTCTCCAAATTAAAAATACATGCATATACCAATAATACATAAATGTGTATTTGGGTGAGTTCAAGAAACGAGGATTTAAGTTGGCATGCATGCACATATGGGAAGGAGGGCTCTGTTTCTGAAAAACAAACTAAACTCAAAGGCCCACTGAAATTGAAAAAGTCACATTTTAGAGTGGTCCTTCAAGTTTTGCATTCTTCTAAATTGTGCTTTGTTCACAGCTACATCCTAGTACTTGAATCCTGCCATTTATGTGGCCTAGTTATTTTGTGTGACTTTTCTTTTTAACGTGAAAAATACCAATTACTGTCATTTTTTCAGCAATGCCTGACAAGTGTATGGTACTTCTAGACCAAGATTTTCAACAGTGTCAGTATTGACATATGGGGCTGGGTAATTCTTTGTTTTAAGAAGTTGTTTTGTTCATTGTAGAATGCACAGCATCCCGGGCTTCTACTCACTAGATGCCAAGTAGCACCTTGCCTTCCCAGTTAAAACTAAAATGTCTCCAGACATTGCCAAATGTCACCTAGAGGACAAAGTCATCCCCACTTGGGTACCACTTCTCTAGACACAAAATTAGTTACCTGCATGTCTTAAATTATTCTCTCAACAAATGGATTTTGTTACCTCTAATAAAATAATTGGTTATCTAGGGTTTGGAAATTTTTGAGTATAGTCAAAGAATGGAAGCTTTGCCATTCTGTGGAGCTGATCTTAGCCATTAATTTAACTTGAGTTATAAAGAAAGCCATGGATATTTATTTGAGTATTTATTCTGTGTTCCCATACATGAAAACGCATGCACACACACACACAGATGAGTCAGTAAATGTACAGTTTATGTATTCTATCTGCACAACCACATCTCCATTCATGTCTGCATATGTGTGATTCAAAAATAATTGCTTAATAAACTAAAGCATATAGAATAGTTTTCTTTGATTCATTTATTTCTTTTCTTATTATTTTCTCTGACAAAACTTCCCTAAGGTTCAACCGTGGCAGGGAATGGATAAGGGAGTCCCTCATGGAGAACTCATTCAGCTGCCTAGCCCGACAGCATAAATTTGATCTTGTAATTAGTATTCAACTCAGCATCTTGGACAGAAACCAGTGTTACAGCCAAGAGGTGGTTTAAATCACATAAATCATAGATCAATGACAGAACTCGAAGCACTGGATAGATTATAAAAGTAAAGCTTTAGTTAAACATAGATTAACTGTTTCCCTGCAGGAACTCTTTAATCCCCCTGAAATATATAAAACAAAATTATATCTGGTCATTTTTGTAGCATAAGCATATGATGTTGAAATATAGTTTCCCTCCACAGTCACGTTGATGTCTTGAAAATGTAGAAATGTATAAGCAATCTTTCCCATGAAAATCTTCCATCCTTCTCATACTTTATTTTTGGGTGAGGTTATAAGAACCATAAAATAAATTTGTTATAAATAGCAACTGTGCATTATTGGTGTGAAAGCTGTTTTAAACGTATGAACATCAGATTTTTAACTTAAAATGCAAACTGAAAAATATGTTTCTCTTTCTATAACCAATGGGTATTTTTCAGTCCAAATCTTGTAATTATTACAGTGCATGTGGATTTTAAGGTTATAGTAAATAAAACTCCTAAAAATGAAGATTGCATGAGTTTTATAATGAGAAATTACCCCATTATCAAACAATAATCATCTCATTGGCCTTCTACCCTTATTCTTCTTTTCAAATCTAGAATTATTCAAAATTATGCAAATATGATTTGTAATCATTTAAATATATATATCTTCAAATGTGGTGTACTATAATGTTCTCGATAAAACTGACAATTCAATTTTAAGTGCCACTAAGCACTGCTTTTTTTTCTTTTGAAATCTAAGCCCTTCAACTTTAAACTGGAAATAGTTTTCATTCCTGACACTGAGGAACATATCAACAGTTAAAAAAAAAAAAAAAAAAAAAAAGAAAGTTTTTCTAATATAATTTCAGACAGCTAAAAAAACATCAGGCAAAACGTAGACATAGTTTAGACACATAATCCTTTCACTTTAGATGCTCTTTCTTGAAGTAGTTTAATAAATTTGCAAATTAAATTTAGTAGGAAGATGATCAAATATAATGAAATAAACAAAAACTACACCACTGAATTTTACAAGTGTTACTCTAAAGGAAAGAAGATTAATTTAAAATCGTCTGCTATGTACCACCTACAGAATTGTACCAATATGTTAAAAATGTCTTTGTGTTAAAATAAAGACAACATGAAAGTAAAAAAAAATACTGGCTGTTCTCTCAAGATTTATATTTATGAAATATTTGTGTGGCTCCTTTTTGTGAGAAAAATACAAATACCTGGAGATTATAATTACATTACTAAACAAAAAGGTAAAAAAACCCACCATTTTTAGCAATACAGCTTTTTAATGTGTATTTTTAAAATAGGGCTACTCGAAGGAGGAAATTCAACTTTAAAGCGTTGCTGCTAATGACTACATAAAAATAACATGTCTATAAATCAAGATTGATGAAGATAGTATGCGGCTATTACTTCAATATATACTGTTGTCTACCTAATCAAGTTATATTTTATTAAGTTCTATTTTTATAAGTTTCAAAACAAATTATGTAAAATCCAGAGTTGATTTCTGATGCTGAGGTTGAATTATCTAAATCTACAATTAATAAATATGAATCTAATGCTTATTTTAATATAAAATTGAGTGTTTTTTTGAACCGAAAATTCCTGAACCTGCCTGTTAATTTGCTCCAAATTATATCAGTTTCTACTCTATGTCTACTATAACCAGAACCTTAACATATGTCTAAGAGTACAATACATGTAAATAGATTAATTATATTAGAAAAACATTGGTCACATTACTAGAAATCTATTTAAGGAATATCAGACATTCACAAGCTGCTCAATCATGCTCCACCAATAGGTTACCATTCACAAAGCCTTCTTTTAATACTTTTAGATGATAATTTATCAAAGTCTTAACTGTTTAAATATATTTAATGGACAATGTAAATAACAGGCACACTCAAGTTCAAAAAAATTAATTTTCCAAAAATACAAGTCACACCTAAGATAAGAAAAAAAAAAAAGTTCACAGTAGAATAGAAACTATTTCAAGTAGTTCCAAACTGACATTTGACATATTTCTTTTCAACTATTAGGAGTGAATAGTGTGAAGTAAGATAGGTTTATAGCAGTTAAGTCGACTTTTTATAAGGAGTAAAAGGATGCCACACTGCCTTCAGTATTCACCTGATAAAACATGTGAGACATTAAATGGATGAAGCAGTAAATATAGCGATAAAAGTTTATTATTTTATTCAGTGATGCCATTATGTCAGTTTCTATGTCAAATTTTTCATCCAAAATAAAAATAGCTAATATATAATTGAGAATATATTTTAGAGGGATTCAGACACAAATATGTATGCATTTTAATGAGTCTGGATATCAAATGTTTTATAAAGAAAAAAATAAAAGAGAGAAAAGTTTGGGAAACTCTACCAGATCTGTTGCAAACTAATGGAATTTTTAAATACAACCAATTGCAAAGCGCATTCTATAGCTAGTCATACAATTTAAAGCTTTTCAAGTTGCTATCTTGGGAAATTTCTTTCAAGGAAATTACATAAAGCCTTGTTTTAGTAAGTTCCCCTACTGTGCTTCCCACTGTGTTTTTTTAATAAGGAAATCTATCCATCCATAGAGGTGTATCCTGTTCTCCATGCTTCAGTGTCTAGCAGCAGGCAGATACAGTAGATATTTGGGTGTTTGACTCTTTAATTTTCACTCCATAATGTAGATGCCTGCTTTTACTGACTGATGCATGTAGTTTCATTGTTGTTTAATTATAAGTGGGCCCAAATTTCCCCCACTCTGTAGCATCCCCATTTTACCATCATCCTCAGCCAAAGCAATATACAATCTGAGGTGTCTTTATGTAAATAAGGTGATAGATGTTTGGTGTAATCATAACAAAAAAACAACCTGTCTGGTTCAAATTATTGAAAAACAGGAGGCAAATTTAATTATGTAAAATAAAAATATTTTATTACTAATATATCAAAAGTTAATATCCAAAGCTACTTTTGAAATTTTTATTTTTCATTTTTTATTTGAAATAATGCAGAAAAGCAACCATCAAATAAAAAATTATTGAAAAATACTATGGAGGCTTCATAGAGTACCTTTTCAAAATTTGCTCTCACACCATAAAAATGCAAACTATCAGAATTAAAACACAGAAAAGGAAAAAATTGTTTTTAACAGATGAAGGATCTCTTTATTTGCTATTTGCTATTTTAAAATTAAAATGCCAATCATCTCTTTTTGTACAAAAATAAGTACATAAAAGGACGAAGACTTTTTTATGAACGAACATCACAAAGTGGTATTTTATTCACAAAAAGTACAAATAAATACATACCCACAAATAAAGAGAGGACATATTGGATATTATACTTTCTAGGCAATCAGCTATAAATTTGGCTATTTTCTTAAGCATTTACCCTGTCCTTACATATACTTTAGGTTATTAGATAATGAAAAGTAAATTTCTTATAAATCCTAAAATTCCTGCCTTCTATAGAGTTGCATATTGTTTTTCTAGGTCCAGTTATGGCCATCAGCTCTGGGACAAGCATTCCTGAGACCAATTTTTTTCCACTAACATGATTAGTTATCAAGCAAATGTGTACTTCTTTTGACAAAATGTGTTCTTTAGAAACGATGGTATATAGCTTTTGTAAAAAAATATGTTATGAACATGGTGCAATTCTCCAATAATTTAAAAAAGTGCTATTTCTATAATTTATTTATAGAATACTACTACTTCTCCTCATATAACATACACACAAAGAATATATACCGAATAACTGACTCACTTAAAAAAGACTCTCTTCCTTGTATGATGTTATATTTTTCTTGATTCTTGTTTCTGATTTTCATAACTGACAGTGACATATATATATTGCTTTAAAAATCATTTTTAAAGAAACTTAAATTCAAAAATAACCAATAGATTCTAACATTTTAATGCCTCAAATATCAAATAAATCATAACTTTTTTGGTATAGTGATTGAATTTTACATGTAATGAAATTAAAATTAGTAGATAAAAATGAGATTGTACAAAGGCTAGTGGTATAGTGTCACCAGTATTGGGCTGTGCTGCATCCATGACAACAGAATGGAAGTTGCTTTTAATACCATTATCTTACATACTCACAGCTGAATGCTAATGCAGCTATACTGAGAAAAATCAAGTTTCAGACCCGAAGCCACTGAACTTACATACACTATGCACAAAGTTGCAAATTCAGAAAAGAATAGAA
The DNA here is from genome assembly GCF_000001405.40 of Homo sapiens. Taxonomy (NCBI): domain Eukaryota; kingdom Metazoa; phylum Chordata; class Mammalia; order Primates; family Hominidae; genus Homo; species Homo sapiens. The sequence continues at coordinate 83,338,290 of NC_000023.11, forward strand.
ATATTAATATTAGAATATAAGAATATTTCAAAAGGTCATTACTTCAAAATGTACATAGATGGACTAATTGTGAAACATTTAAAGAATGTATATTGACGTGAAAACAAATTCAGTAAAAAGAAACATTTTGCTGCTAATTTTAATAACATAATCAGCAAACTAAGAGATTATTCCATTTTCCTCTGCAGTGAAACTGAAAATTGATTATTTCATTCAATTAAACTTTGATTCAATAGAATAGTGTCTGATCTACCTTTGAAAAAGAGACAGAAAAAAGGAAGCAAAACACAAATAGAAAACTCTTACTGATTTGATGAAATAAAGCCTAGCTTTTTAAAAAATAAAGCCAGAGGAATGCAGTACACAAATTTCAGACTCCCCTGTTTTCTTGTTTTAAAGATAAAAATATATTACCAAATATAGATACATGTTTAGAGAGATATATAGATAGATACATAGATAAATGGATAGATGTCAATGAATCTCTTGTCTGAGGCATTCCCATATTGAACCCAAAGTATCTAGGTGGCAGTAACTTAGTAAAGTTCATGACCATACTTCGCTGCGTCATAATAGAGACTCTAATTACATTCCTTGAGCTTTGTCATGTCAGAAATGAAGATAGAGCTTTTGGAAATTCCTCTCCAACACGGTAACTTATTTTTCTTCTTGCAAATTGAGTGATCCCTGTGTCTACACATAGGCAGTGTGAAATAGAAATTGTGGCTAATTCTATCTGTTATGAAATAAAAGGGAGTCTTGGAAATTAGCCAGCTCACCAGAATAATGTCCATTGTCAAACTAGAAAACTCAATACAGATGGACAGAGAGAAACACATACAAATAGTATGAGGTAAAACTTGAATTATGCAGTATAGAGCAATCCGTCTAAACAATAATCTCATGGATTAGTCCAGAAAGTCAAATGTATAGTTCCTAGATTCCTTTCCACCCCATCTGCTTTGACAGTGGTTATATTATGACTTTCTTAATTTTTTTCTCTTCTCCATGTCTGTTGGCATCTTTAGTAATAAATTTAGATTATACTGGTCCGTGGAATAATTTGAAATGTGAAATATTGGTCTTGAGTTAGATACCAAATTTATCTGATACTATACCTTCTTCTTTTTGCTTTGTTTTAGGAAATTCTCAGTGAATGGTTTAGGTAATTATAATAGCTGGTCAAAAAAAGAAGATAATATTGAGTCATAAATGAGTGTTTGACTTGGCCTGGTCATCAACATGGATTAAGTGTAATGAATAATTACCTAGTTTTCTTCTTTATAACAATACTAGCATAGTGAGATTGTCCTACAAGTTTAACCCGTATCAACATTAATTCATTCATTCTCATTCATTCAATAAATGTTTATAATGAATTTATTATTTGTTAGGCAATATGATCAGTGATTGAACTTTCTAATAGGCAGCAGTGTAATGTAGTAAAATAGAATCAAGTGCCAAACGGTCTAAGTTCAAAATCCAACTATTACCACTTAGCTATGTGTCCTTCGATAAGTTACTTGTCCATTCCGAGCCTTCATTTCTTCATCTGTAAAATAAGGATGATAATAAGATTACCTTATGAGGTATGTAATGAGGTAATTGATCTAAAGTACTAAGTCCAGGAATTGTTGCATAATAAATGCTATTAAGCAATTGTTATCATAAGTATTATTCACCCAGATATCACCAATCAACCATGTAAAGACTCAAAATACAGACCACAGATGTCAAAGATCACAATTCTAAGTAAAAGTTTGATAAAGGACAGAAATTGAAAAAAAATTACAGAGACGGACATGAGGCATCCCATAAAAGAGTGACCCTAGTAGATTCAGGTGGCTGATTAGTTCAACCTTTGGATTCAACTCTTGTAACTATATGTGGCTTAAAAAAGACTACTTGAGGCTGGGTGCCATGGCTCCCACCTGTAATCCCAGCACTTTGGGAGGCCTAGTCGGGTGGATCATGAGGTCAGGAGATCGAGATCATCCTGCTAACACGGTGGAACCCCATCTCTACTAAAAATACAAAAAAAATTAGCCGGGTGTGGTGGCACGCACCTGTAGTCCCAGCTACTGGGGAAGCTGAGGCAGGAGAATCACTAGCGCCTGGGAGGCAGAGGTTGCAGTGAGCCGAGATCGCACCACTGCACTCCAGCCTGGGCAACAGAGTGAGATTCTATCTCAAAAAAAAAAAAAAAAAAAAAAAAAACTACCTGAAATAATGACAAACTAAAATTATGACATTTGATTGGCAATGCGCTAAATTACTACATGGAATATTTTGTTTATTATAATAAATCAGGTTTTAGTGCTCACATAACAGTCAAGTTTGTCTTTTTGTATGTGTCGCCCCTTGTTTTCCTATCTATCCATGTAATTCATATTTTCCTTTCTTTAATTCATTGTTCAAGATCTACTTCCTCTAGGGTTTTTTCTTGTCACCAGTTTTGTCCATTTTCTTAACTATAAGCTCAACTCCAAACCCTCCTTTTGCCTTAATGTATTACACAGTCTTTATATTGAATTATATAAAGATATGTTTTCTGGTTATAATGATATTAGTAGCTAATATTCATGGTGCACTTCCTTTGTATGTAGCGGGATCGCTAAACAATTTACAATTGTTTTACTTAATGTTTATAACATCTCAATGGGGTAGGTACTGTTATTTATTGTCATTCTCATTTTATAGAAAAGGAAACAGAGGCTCAGGGGTGATGAGTGACTGCTCCTTGCGTGTAGAGAACATGCTCAATAATTAATAATTTTATGTGCCTCAATATGGTGATCTGCCTTGTGGAGCATTAAGAAACATTTAAAGAGTGACTGTGTTTCTGCTTTGCCTTTTGAAATATATTTTAAAATATTCTTATCTACATCTTGTTTTTTATAATGAACCCAGTAAGCTTTAGTGTTGCCAAGATTAATTGTTTTAGCTTTTGGTTTGCTTGTGAGTTCTCAAACCACGTGTTAGGTGAAGGAGAGAGACATGAATAGAAAGAGCAACATATCCAACATATCATATTCTAATGACATCTAGGGTTCATCTATAAAACACCAAAATATCTGGCCCATGTAAATAATTCAATCTTTAAAATGTTTTATCTATAAAGTAAGCAGATAAACTTTTCCCCCCCTCCTCAAAATAGGACACATGTTCCTACAGATATAAGCGTAATTATGGGGACAATGAGACAAACTATTTAAAATTAGAGTCCTCTTTTTAAACCCAGGGCACATGGTCACATATAACAACAACAACAACAGCAACAACAAAATACAGTAAGTAAGACGGAACTGAGCAGATATTTTAGCACCATGTAGACATAGGCTTAATTTGTAAATATTGTATGCATGTTTGAGGAAAACACTGTGTAGTTGTGTTTTTAAATGATTCTGTTCTGTCTGTTCAAAGATGTTTAAAATATTCCAAACAACAAAAGGGCAGAGCCCCCGTGAGAAGCAGTAGAATTCTGAGAGGAAGCCACATTGGAAAAGTTTTGTTAAACAAGTTTTTGGTAAAAAGTTTTGTTGAAGTGATCCCTTATGATGCAAATGACCTATAAAGATAAGAAAACACTCATTGAAGTTACTAGAAAACTCCTCAAGTAGGTAGTTTGAAGAGAAGACTTTATATGTTTTTGGAAAGAACACAGAATAACTGTGTCTTAAGTTCCAAGACATTAAGCTTGCCAAACTGACTTACCCTAGCATAAATTATCAAATACCCAACAAGTGATTGTTTTGACAGAAAAGTACATCTAAGGATTTATACTTTGTGACTCAAGTGGAAACAATAACCAAGATTTAGAATTGATTTACTAATAGGCAATCCCCAAATTAAGTAAAACTCCCTTTTTGGAGTTTCCCTAGATTGATAAACATTCTTTTTCTCTTCATAAATTAGAAATAATTCCTCATCCCTTTGACCCATCAAGGCATATTATCTGTATCTCTGTTTTTAAACAGATTAGGGTCCAGTAGAGTTAATTATATTACATTCTTCTTATTTTGAGACAAGGTCTCACTCTGTCACCCAGGCTGGAGTGCAATGGCACTATTTCAGTTTACTGCAGCTTCAACCTCCTGAGCTCAAATAATCCTCCCACATCAGCCTCCTGAATAGCTGGGAATACAGGCAAGCACCACCACACCCAGCTAATTTTTGTATTTTTATGTAGACAAATGGTTGCACCAAGTTGCCCAGGCTGGTCTGGAACTCCTGGCCTCAAGTGATCTGCCTGTCTTAACCTCTCAAAGTGCTGGGATTACAACCATAAACCACTGTGTCCAGCCTATTTTACAGTCTTGTTTTCTTTACAAGACAATGGGTGCTTTAAGGTCAGTAGTTATCTTTTCATCCCATTCTTGTCTAGTAGATGTTCAATCAATAATTGTTGAATTAATTGCAGGATGCTATAGCCACAAGGTAGCTTTATTTTAGCAAGGTACTTGACAGTTTCCTGTAATATCCTTGTGAATGACATGGAAAACATAAGCTATATGACAGTATTATAAGGTGATGTTGCACCTGGTTGGATATTCGTATACAATATGAGGCAATAAATGTATATCAACCGGGAAGGCTTTCCCTGTCCTGTCCAATATTTATAGATAATTTAATTAAATATGTTAATGGCTTGTTAGTCGACACTATAAATGACACATCTAAGAGATAAAGTAGTATTGAAAAATTTAGATGGTTAGAGCAATACTTTCAGGATGAAAACTGGAAAAGAAAAAATGTAATTGTCTACTAGCAATTGATTATAAGCCCCGTGTACAAGTACAAACTAAATTTTATTGTTTTTTGTGTGAAATGGAATAATTTAAGATTATGTACTATATATATATTTAGAGAGAGAGAGAGACGGAGTCTCGCTGTGTCACTCAGGCGAGAGTGCAGTGGCACGATCTTGGCTCATTGCAGCTCTGTTTCCCTGGTTCAAGCGATTCTCCTGCCTCAGTCTCCGGAGTAGCTGGGATTACAGGTGCACAATCACACCCAGCTAATTTTTGTATTTTTAGTAGAGATGCTGTTTCACCATGTTGGCCAGGCTGGTCTCGAACTCCTGACCTCAGGTGATCCACCCACCTCGGCCTCCCAAAGTGCTGGGATTACAGGCGTGAGCCACTGTGCCCGGCCAGATTATGTACAATATTAAAATGAACCAACAGTAGGAGGGTAGGCAAATAAGCCACTCAGGTGGTATAGTAGGCAGCATAAGGTAGCAGTCTACACTCCAGTTTTGAAAGTTAAGAAATCTTGGGTTCATGCCTGCCATTTATTAACTATGAGCCATTGAATAACTAACTCAGTGTATCTGGTTCTCGGTGTTGTCATTTATGACATGAAAATAATGAAAGTACCTAACTCATGGGGTAACGGTGAAGATTAAATTCAATAATTCATGTAAAGTGCATAGCAGTTTCTGACTCATAGTAAACACTCAAAATACTGATTGCCCGTGATAGAAAAAAAAAAAAAAAATATATATATATATATATATATATATATATATATATATCTGGACCAAAGTTGTCCTGCATTCTGTACTCCTCAAAATAAATCTGTAAATTGTCATCCATTTTGAAGAGGAATATTGACCCACTGGACACCATGCAGAAAAAAATCCATGGGATCTTGAAAGATCTGGAAATGCTCTCATATAAGGAATTGGGAGACATTAGAAGGTAAGAAAGGCATGATTAAATTTGCTTAAGTGTAGAAATGCTGACACATGAAACAAATAAAATTGGTTCTGTATGGTCCTATGTGGAACAAAAGTAAAGAACTATAGATGCAAATCACAAAGAGGCAAATATTAGTATAATATTTTAAAACTTTCTAACAATATTATCAGATAATAAAATAGCATTCCTTTAAAAAAAAAAAAAGAAAAAACGAGCTCCCATTCTGAAGTGTCCAAGCAAAAACTAAATAATTCTCAACAAGGTTACTGAAAAATGGATTTCTATACTCAGCGCAAAGTCTTTTCCAAATCTAACATTCTCTGATTCTTATAGACCAGAGACTGTATTCATATGATACGAATAAACTATTATTTTGACCTACCAATTTTTCAAATTGCCTATAAAAAAAGCAAGCAAGCAAACTAACAAATAAGAGGTCAAGAAAAGGAGTGGCTAAAGATAAGACAGGGTAAACCTATACAATTTGCATAATGTAGTGGAAGGAATCATAGGTCTGGGAAACTACATACTAATAACTTTTCTGTCTTTAATTAGATGATTACTTTTATTGAGTCTCCATTTTCTTTCCATTGAATAAGCAGTTGGGCTAGATGGTCTCTAAAAGCTCTTTTATGTCTTATAGCATGCTACTATTTACTTCTTTGAGTGTCATTTACCTATGTATCATTGAGAGAAACCAAAACTATAAAAAATGATAAAAATTGGTCACTCTCCTTTCATACCAACACAGTCATACAATATTACCTCCTGATTAATTATTTTGTCTGGGCTATATTCTTCATTAGTGCTGAAACCATTTGTTTCAAACCAACATTATGACAAAGAGTTTTTCACAGTGAGTGGTGATTCCAAATATTCACAGTCACACATATTTGCCAAAACTTTGGTTTGCATTAATCATATGTCATGCACCATTGTGTGTGGGGGCGGGGCCAGGAGTAACTTCTTCTCAGTCACAACACATCTCTGCCGGAGTTCAGAAAGCAAATATGAAAAACATAAATGCTTCCAGTATTTGTAATATGAATCAACAAACAACATGATGATAAACATAACAAATCATATTATTTTATACTTAAAAAAACATAAACTTGAAGACACAGCCCATTGGATATTCTATACATATTTGTTTTCTTTAATTCTCTCTCATGTTTGTTAAAACATATATTTAACTGCAATCAGTTCTGCCCCACTGTTCTTTTCTTCTTTCGGAAAAAAAATGACAACTTTTCTTGTCCCTCACCCACATTTAGTGGCAAATTAATCAACTACAGGGAGTCAAGAGGGATTTTCATTTTCCATTTTAAAGGCCTTCAACCTATGGAATTAGCACTTTGAATTGTTGCCAAGGGGAAGCCAGTCTCCAGGAAATAAAAGAAGGCCTAAAGGTTGGAAAGAAAGCTTTAGTTTTTGCTAAATGGCCCAAGGTGACACAATATCTGACCTTTTGATGACCCCATTGAGGACAGATGGGTTTTAAGTGAAGGCATCTTCTATGTACACACTCTTGCTACACTCATATTTCTAAATGAACACCGTGAAGAAATGCCATTATTGTTAATGTTCTTTTTTCAGATCTACATTTCAGATAATACCCATCCTTCCGCTTGATCGGTTCTACAAAGAGAAATTTGAAGCAGGAAGCTGGTGAGCTCATTTTCCAGTTCAGAAATTCTTAAAAGAAATTAGCCTCTAGTTAGGTAGATATTTTACTGTAAATTAATTTTAGATACTGTAAGAAATGACCTCAGAAACTGCCCCATCTGTTTCTTTTGACAACAGTGTTGCTGCTTGAAGTTGTTCTTCAAATTTCACCGACTCAAAGAGGAGAATAGTATTTTTCCTCAAGGGCTCCCGAAAGAATCCTCACTTCAACAAATATTGTTATTAGCTCTCCAAGAGGCATAAAAATTCATCAGGGTTTCCTCCTTCCAGCTGGGTAAAACTTGGGAGGTGCATATATTAAAAAACTGCCAAGTCTCTCAAGCTATACATTTTTATTAAGTTCCAAGCACATTTGCAAACAACTTTCTGTATGATAAAATTTCACTGTCAGACTTTTTAGAATCTGGAAAATCTTCAGGGGCATAAATATACTTTTTTTGCGAATATAGTAAAAAATGTAAATGTGAGAAAGCTGAGAGTGTGGGAAAATTATGCAATGGGAAGTTAGTAGCTTCATCGTTGAGTTCGTTGCTGCTTAGCTCTGTTGGCTAAATCATGGCATTAATGAGACCAAGGCGACAAGACTTACCTCCACATGGACCAATTAGCATCACTTATTTTCAATAACACAAATTGCAGCCATCACCCTAGTGAGCCAAATGGCAAACGCCTAATTTTGTCACAAGGGAAACCAGGTAAGTGTGACTGGCTCATTGCAAACCCAGGCTCATGACAAGAAAACTTCCTTGGAAGGAGAAGCTCTCCTGATAATATCTCTCCATGTACAAGAGCCAGCATAAATAAGAGAAAAACATAATTAAAATTTGTATAAAATATTTTTCTCTGTAAAGCATATTTACACATATTATAGGACTTAATCCCTACTACAATCCTACTACCTTCATTTTATACAGACAGAAACAGTTGCTATACTTTTTTCAGGTTGTGATGCACCCTATTAAGTCCTACAAGGAATAAGAGGTTTAAATACTAAAAGGAACAAAAAAGCATTTTGCAGCTTTTGAAATTTTTTATGAGAGTAAAAAATGTATTTTTATAGAATTTGCATGAAAACAAAGGCTCAAATATAAAGTTGGCTCAAATCACAACAAGCATTTCCTTTAAAAATATCAAATAAAGAAGACTAAAGTGAGTTTCCTACCCAGATTCTCTGGACAATTACTTCATTTTACCCCTTTGTTTTAGATCTATACAAAGGCTCCCAATCAGATAGGACTTAAAATTCTTTCTTCCCATTCTAACATTCACAATAACCGTATTAGTAGATATTATTCGCTCCATCTGTATAGGTAAAGGAACAAATTGTGAGATTGTGTGACTTACTCATTTTCTTTAGGCACAACATTCATCTGCATTTATGAGTTAATTAAAAATTGAAAAATAATAAAAACCCTCATCAAACCACATTAACTTATCGGTCATTAAATAAGTCCTTTCTGTCTGGTTGTTAGCTCCACTTTGAGTCATTCATAATTTCATAAACAAGGCCTAAACGATAAATACCATAAAATAAGTAAAAAGTATGCTCAGATTTTTTCTTAACCCTCTTTTTGACTAGCCTTCCCTTCTGTAAAACTTAGTTCTAAGTACACAGCTATTCTAATATCTTCTCCCATTGTCTAAAAGTAAAAGAACATTTTCTTCTTCATCTCCAAATAAAAGAAAAATGAGTAACAATTATTCTGGGAGCAATACTAAAGGCTGGACAGTTTTTCCTAGGTAGTTGGTTAGATTTTTTTTTCTTTTCTTTTTTTTCTTTTTTTTGATTGTTTGTTTTTACAAAACAGATAGGTTGTTTAACCAAGTTAACAAATACTGAATTATTTTGGTGTTCCAAAATTTAAAACAAAAAAAGCACATGATTTTCTCACAACACTACTTTTGACAGCATCTTCCACGTAAGACACTAAAGGCTTTTATATAGTAAAAATGCAGATCCCAGAAATATTAAAGTATTCTAGATTCTAGAAATATTAGTTGTCTCTATTCTGTAACTCTATCTCATTAGCTTTATTTTGTGCCACAATGGGGAAATTTGAAAAGAGAAAAACATTTTTTGAGGAGGAAGAAACTCGGCAAAGTTATAACAGCACACCACTTTTTTTTTCCTTTCCATAATTTTGCAAACCAACACGTTGCAAAATTCATCAGTTTTGTTTCACATAAAAGGCTTTTTGCTCAGTACAATTTCCTTATAATCCATTTTGATTAAGTCTGCAAAGGTCTGCCAGTGCATCCTCAGATAAACTGCATTGCAATTATCACTGTTAGTGTAAGTAGGAAGTCTTCAGAAGATTTTATTAGAAAATTAATATAATAACTGCTGGTGATTTAATAATTTTAGAGAGTTTAAAATACTTTTTCCAGATTTCCCTGTTAGTAATAATCAATGAAGTGAAACTTTAGTCTCTTCTTCATCCTCACTGCCTTCTTCTTCAGCAATATAGTTGGTGGAAGCAGAAAAAGGAAGAAATCTCTGTCCTACATCCAAAAAATCTCTTAATAACATTAATTGTATATAGTCAAATGAAAAGAAATAAAGGTTGTCTTACTGGGAGGCAATTGTCTCAGGGAGTAATAAAGTTACTAAAGGTTGACCCCATATTGTTAAAGTATCCAAGTGATTGTTGCAAAAATTAAGTATACTTAACAGAAATGTTTTTTATAAAGAAAGCTCATCAATCTTAAAGGAACATCTTTTTAAGATTTGTTTATTAATTTAATTTTGCTTTTAATCTAGGAAAAGTAGGGTAAAAAACAGCAAAAAGGGGATGAATTAATATTTAATCAGGCATTTTTAACTATTAAAATATTGTCTGAGAACATACATAACAACCCACTTGAAGTATTTCTTCATAAGAAACTGTCCTATGTTGAGAGTTAAAAATTCTTGTTTATAATCAACTGCTTCATAATAAAAGGAATTTCTGCTTACATCCTCAATTTCCAGCTAAGTGTGTATAGAAATTAGTCACTATTTCTATTTTTTTATGGACTAGAACATTTGATTATAGAAATTCTGCATATTTCTCCTCATTTAGGTCCCCTACAAATTCTATATACGTAAAGCCTTCTTTCAATGTTCTGCTAAAATTAATCCTCACTGTAAGCCAAAATAATAATTTGAATATCTTAATACCCCATAGTTGTTTTAACATTCCCTATTTTTCAAATTTCAAAATTCTATTACGAAGTGAAATACAGGCAGAAAGCCAAATCATAAGAATAAAATGAAACATTCACCTAATTGTATAAAATTGTATTTACAGAGCCTACCTATCAATGCTCTGATGCTAAGTGTGTATGTGTTCGCAATGATTAAACATTTTCCAAAGCCATGAATGCCATTTAATTCCCCCTTCCTTTGACTAACCTTCACCTGACCTCACTCCCTAAGGCAATTTTAGATTCTTTTGTTTCTACATTCAAATCTTCAGTCAAGTAGGTGAGTTTATTAAAAATCAGTCATTAAAAAAATTCCTCAGAAGCAATTTTTGTGTAATTTTTTTCACAGATGCTTGTTACAAAAATTATTTCCCATTAAGCATACCTGCTTATGACCTTTCAATTGATAGAGCAACTCAATTCATTGAAGACAAACCTGAACTAGCCCGTTTTGCAGTTTTAGCAGTCCTTCCTAGGCCAGTAAAATTAGCACATACAGTATATAAATATACAGAGAAAAAGGATATTTATATAATCAGGTGAGGTACTCTGCAGCAAATGAGCTGAAAAAATATATGTAAGCGTACATAAATCTCAATACTACACTGTGAAAGAAAAAAAGGTTAACTTAAAAAAAAACTCGTTTTCATGGAATTTTGCAAAATAAATTCTGTCCTATATATGGTCTTGAAAACCATTGTTTACTATTAAAATTGTTCCTTTAAAAATTAATTGCTAGGTAATTTCTTCTTATTATTATTAAAATCAAATATTTGGATTTTCTTTACAAGAACATTTCTTAAAATAATATATCACCAGATACTTGCCATTTTTTCATAGAGAAAGTAAGAGTACAATAGAAGAGAGAGGACAATCTTAAACACCATTAATTTAAAAGGATTTGTGGAAAGAATTAGAAAAGGTAATAAACCACATTTTGGGGTCTTTTTAATAAAGTTTTTATCCTTACTATTTCAGACTTCAAAAATGTCATGGTCACAAGTATCACAGTACTTGCCAGTTTCAAGGGAAAATTAAAACTTTACAATGTAGGTACAAAGTTGTAACCACCCTAAACAACAATTACTTATGATCACTAATAGTGCATAAGCAGTCAGTATGAGCCTTTTGATAAAATGCAATATGAAGTATGAAGCAGCACCTATGCTATGTACTTGTCAAAAATCTCATACAGCCTTTTAACCTAACTTTCACTTTACAGGAAATTCAGGGATGTGAGGAATGAATTATATACTACAAGAAAGGAAGTAGTTAAATCCAGAAGATCAAACATTCTGTAGAATCACGGTTCCCATCTCTTTAAAAACTCATTTATAAAGAACAAAAAAAGGTGTGGGTCTATTACATTAGACAAAAATTATTCATGATATTTGATTGAATCCTGATTTGAATAAGCAAGGAGAGTCACTAATTCTAACCTAACTTCCTCCTTTTAATCTTGTTAAAGATAGAAAAACAGAGTCCAGCAATGGGAGAGGAATTGTCCAAAGCCTCACAGCTGGTCAGGGACTAGAGTTTAAGTCTCCTAACTCTTAATTCTCTGTTCTATTCCTGAAGTCGATTCTAAAGCCCATTTTAGAGTACTGTCCTGTCACTGTGTTATTTTAGGCCATGTCATCTTGAGGAGCCGTCTGACTCCACATGGTTTAGAATATTCTTAATGTCTTCCAGCCAAGCTACAGTTTAAAATGAAGAAACTCCTTGCCTTTGCCGTGGTAAATCATATTCTATTGGTCTTTGACAACAAAGATGTTGTCCTTTTCTATATTGTACAAAAATTCTTAGCAACAGTGAGGTGAACTTTATTTTAGAATTTCTGTGAAAGGGCCATAATCATCGAGGGGAGGTAAGTAGAGTATGGTGATTTAACATAGGAGTCTGAAGGTCTAGGTTTCTTCTTCATTCAGACACTAAAATATAGGACAGAATCACTGAGCTGGGTAATTATCTTGAGGCAGTTATTGAATCACTTTGTGACTCAGTTTCTTTCTCTGGAAAAAGCAATATTGATTCCAGAATCATCTACATATGACCCTAAGACCCACTAAAATTATTCTATCTATAGAAATTTTCAAGATTTTTCAGACAAAAGTCACTTTATCAGTGATAAAACAATAGAAAGGAAACGTAATCTAATATGATGTCTCCTGTAAAGCAACATCTCTGCTATTTATTCTTTTCTTTGACTTCATAATCCAAAATTCTCTTGGGAATTTTCTTCTCTGGGTCTACTTTCAACTTATCTCCCAATAATGTCAAGGAAAATTGAAATAAGTTCTACAAACAAATCTACAAACTAAGATGTTCTTTTTTTCCCCTTTTTCTATAATGAAAAGGGTCTTCTATTAGGAATTACAATAATGAAATACGGCAGTAGATCTTAAAGTTTTCCCTTCCTCAGGCTGCAGTTATGTAAAAGGTTATATAGTACAACAGTTATTAATCCTTCTTCACTTTGACAATTGATTTGAATACAACGTCTGTTGTAGACTCTATAATACAAGATCATAGAAGTTCAAAACTAATTTATTGCTCTTTGTTCCACCCTGCAAAAAGTGCACCTTATCAAAACTTTTACTGTCAGATCGATATTATGCTGAAGCAAAAAAATGCAGATTAGCTGTTAAACGCTTCTCTTTTTAGCTGCATTCATGAATTACTTTGCAAAATGCAGGCACTGTGGTGGAGGAAGGAAAACTTCAGTAGAGAATTTTAAAATGGAGTGGAGAAGCAAGTCGGAAAAGAGGTCCCATAAAGGCTCTATTCCTAAAATTCACTAGTGTAAATGTAATACATTTACATATTTAAATAAAACACTGATTGTACTTGGTATGTGCAGATATTGAACTTGAAACTGGAAACTGGTAGTGGAGAAGACATCTGTTCCCATTTGGACTGGTTTCCCTTTTCCAGTTCAATATTACCTGCACGTAGGGAACACAGATCCCAACAAAGTTCTTCTCAGATGCCAAAATCAAAAGTATTTGAGCAGACTGTAATGGTTTGATTCACATTAGTGAGGCAAACTTATTGAATGTAGAGGCTAATAAATTCCCAGTTAAAGTACAAAGCGCTCATTGATTTTACAAGGAAAAATCTGTGATTCCACTCTGTTCAAAGAATGTTTACAGCAAATGATAAAATGTAACTAGCTTTGTTTTTCAATTAGGCCTATTCGAAAATTCATCAAGCATTCTCCCTGCTCCCCACAAAGATCTCTCCATTATCACCTCATCTCTGGGGTCAGAAGGGTGTACAAACACAAACCGGGTTAGAGGTAACAAAAGGGAGGAAAAATAAGGCATCTGAATGCAAGCATATTTGGGTAAAACTGCACAATTTCTGAAAATAGATGCTGAAATAGATGGTAGGTTTATATGCTGCCCTCAGGCATTGATACCTTCAACTTGCATGCTTATTTATATTCGCATATTCTGCTATTAGGTGGGAAACAGTTACCACAGCAACCTCTAAATCACCTGGCAGCTTAGCTGTTTCAATAAAGCCATAGTATTCTAACACTTAAAAAAAAATAGTTGTATATGACAATAAAAAACAATGTCTTGTATGTGATGTTTTTAAAGTGAAGGGCATTCATCTTCACATCGTCCTTGTTCCATCCATCCAGCTAGCTAGTAGTGGAACTTGAGAATGTATATCAGGTGTTCCAAATCTGAATTTCTTCTCTTTTTTCCACTCTATTCCACCGAGTTTATAAGATTTTCAGTGAATTAGCATTGGTTAAATTTTTTTCTAATTCTCAGTACACATTCGAGTAGAAGGCTTATACACGTGCATTCCATTTTTCACTTGGGCTTTTCACTTTTACTTTACCATTATGGAGCTGCTTCCTTTAAATATTACATATGAGTGAACAACGGTGCATTTAGCATTAAAGTTTACACAGGAGGGAGAAAGAAAAACATAGGCTGTTATAAGAATAATCTAGTTTAGTGCATTTATTACTATGTATAGGTTTCAGGTAACCTTAAAAAGTGAAGACTTTTTTTTTTTTTTTTTGAGACGGAGTTTCGCCCTTGTTGCCCAAGCTGGAGTGCAATGGCGCAATCTCGGCCCACTGCAAGTTCTGCCTCCCGGGTTAAAGCCATTCTCCTGTCTCAGCCTCCCGAGTAGCTGGGATTACAGGCACGCCACCATGCCCAGCTAATTTGTTGTATTTTTAGTAGAAACTGGGTTTCACCACGTTAGCCAGGCTGGTCTCGAACTCCTGACCTCAGGTGATCCACTCGCCTCGGCTTCCCACAGTGCTGGGATTACAGGCATGAGCCACCATGCCCAGTCAAAAACTGAAGACTTTCAAATGTAAAATATATCCACTAGCAGTTTTCTGTTAGCTCCAAGTATATAATTTCTTCTTACTGGTGCACAAATACGACTGCAATGGCAAGTCAAAATTTCTCATTTCCTGAGAATTTTGTTTTCTGTTTTTATAAAACTGCTTTTAATTTTTGATGGTGAAAGTTTGTTTCTTTGTGCTTTCATTATGCAAGATATAATCTTGTAACAGTATTTGCATTTCCAGTCTGCAGTGCTAAAATCTAAGCATCTCCTTATTCACTTCCTTTTGGCAGCTAATTTAGAATGTACACCAATTAACTGGAAGGTGAAAATAATTGGAAAGGAGATTCCAATTTCCAGCTAATTTTTGGAAAAGGGGATTAATCCTTATTGTTAAATATCCTTCTAACACATATTGAAATATGAAAGGGTAAAAGTGTATTTTTTTCAAGAATATACTTAAAATACTCTAGAAAAAAAAAGGAGGAGAATGAGAATGGTAAAATGTTGATAATTTTTGAGTCTGGGTACTAAATACATGGCATTTTATTGTTATTATTTTCTCTACCTTTGTGCATATTTGAAATTTTTATAATAAAAATTAAAAACAGTCTAAAATGTAATAGCTTCAAGATTTTGGCCCTATAGTATTTAGTAAATATAATTTAATCTTCTTTTACTTGATTGAAGAAAATGACAGATAACTATATGTAAAACACTTTCCACATATTATCTCATTTAATTTCTATATCAATCAACTTAGGTAGGTATCTTAATTTTAAAGACAAGAAATTGAAAGTTGAGAATTAGTGGCAGACAAATCGGTCTGACAATAAGATCAACTGTGCTCTGAATGTCTCCACTTAAATAAGGATCTGCCTCTCACCGTTTAGGACTGGAGGACTGTAAGTATGGGAGAGTAGGCTAGATGTGTGTTAAGGTCTGGAATGTATTTGTTTGTTTGTTTTGTGTTTTACTTATTCTATAACAAGAATTTGTTTTGCTCTTTTCTGTTATTTTTAATTTTTCACCTTTTATTCTAAGGCAAAGAGTAATAGTAAAGTTCGGGCTATAAAGTTGCAAATTAAAATACAGGATGATATTTGAGGCATGCATATACTGAGAATTAACTAATTTAGCTGGGCATCCTGTATTTTTATTTTATAAATCTGTCAACCTTACATTAGTAAAACGTTTTGCTTAGTTGAATTATAGTGAATTGAGGTTTCAGTAGGCACGGACATGAATATGTAAACATTGTCTTCGTTGCAATGGAGAGGTACTTGCAAATCTGAAGTATTGCAGAAAAGCATGACTTTCTTCCAATATTAGGTTCAAAATACTGAGTAAGTTATTACTCAACATTTCTGTAATGAATAGGTACTGCTTTTGTGATTTAAAAAAGTCATTTTTAAATTTTAAAATAAATAGATTTCCACTTTAAAAGAGCTGACTGAATACCTCTGAATAAATGCAAGGGTTTGTTTTATTGTTTTATTTGTTTTGGGAGTGACATTTATTTTTCTCAGCATTGAGGGGTCACAGAGATACTTACAAAGAACTTTCTTTCTTCTTCCTCTTCTTCTTCTTCTTCTTCTTCTTCTTCTTCTTCTTCTTCTTCCTTCTTCTTCTTCTTCTTCCTTCTTCTTCTTCTTCTTCTTCTTCTTCTTCTTCTTCTTCTTCTTCTTCTTCTTCTCCTTCTCCTTCTCCTTCTCCTTCTTCTTCTTCTTCATTTATTTATTTTTTTTGACAGTGTCTCACCTTGTTGCCCAGGTGGGAGTGCAGTGCAGTGGTACAATCACAGCTAGCTGCAGCTTTGTACACCACCACACCTGGCTATTTTTAAAAATTTTTTGTAGAGACAAGGTCTTACTACGTTGCTCAGGCTGAGCTCTAACTCCTGGGCTCAAGTGATCCACCCACCCTGAAGTGATCCCCCCTCCATGGCCTCCCACAGTGCTGGGATTACAAGCATGAATCAATCACCACCCCGGTCCCTTTTTCTTCTTTTAAATAAAAGTAGAGATTTCGCCAAACACTCGAACCTATTGGGAATTTAAACCAAATCAATAAGGAAAACTCTAAATATTATATAGGGCCTTAAGTTATTTGGGGTTATTTTTCTGCTGCAAAATTTTTAGGTGGGTTTATTGTATAATGAAAAGGAAAAAAGGAAAAGAAGCAATAATAATCACCAATGAACGAAAACAACCAATTTATTAAATTCCATCAACCCGTTAATTTAGTTGGGGGTGGGGGTGGGGTTAGTCTAATTTGTTATTTGACTGACTTAATAAAATAAAACAACTATACCTCACGTGCAGTTTGTTTGCAAATGTTACTTGCTTTTAAAACTATAAGTAAAAAAAGTCTATTAAGAAAAATGCATGCAGCATTCCTCACTCAGGCCAGATGAATTACCAAAATTCTTGTTTGCATCCAAACATGATTAGCATATTCTAGTGCTTTCTAGTGCCTTCTAGCATCCTGTTTTTTCCCAAATCAGTATTCATTCTGGGCAATGCTGACGTGTATGGTTGTCTTCATAGCATTCCATCTGCGAGCCATGCTGAGAGAAAGCACTGATCCTTTCACTGGACTATACGGAGTCTGTAAACCATCAACACAAAAGAAACCCTCCCACATGAAGAAGAAAAAACTGTCAGCAATTGTCTCAGAAAATTTTCTTTACAAACATGACTCTCAGAAGATTGAGGAACGAATGAATTAAATTAACTAACAGCAAATCCACTAATTAAAACTACTAAAGCAATGCTTGCTTGTGAAGATGTTTACTGGTTTGTTACCTCTCTGAAACTATGCTTCCCATTTAGCAAAATCATGTTTGTGTTTCTACCTAATTTGTAATAAGATACTTGAAAATTGCTAATTAATAATTCTGATAAACAATGAAGGGCCGACATTTTGCTGAGCATTTTATTTCCTCTTATTGCTAATATTTCACTTCATATTCAAAGGTTCTCACCATTTTATCTTCATGCCACTCATTATCAGAGTGCCTGATTTTATACTCATATCTCATCCTAACCAGGTAGCTTATTTCCATCTTTCTTCTACTCTGTAATCTTTCACCAGACCCCTGGTTGTTTCTCCCATATACCACAACAGTTACATTCATGCAGAGGGAACTGCTTAAAATGCTTTTCCTTTCCATGGTTGCCTGTCCAAATGTCAATTGTTATGATTCCAACTCAAGTTACACTTGCTCTGTAAAATCGTTATTTAATTGCACATATTTCTCACGTATTTCCCTTTTTTCTAAGTCCCTAAATGTGGTTCTCAAATAGTGGTGCAAGTACCCTTGTGATTACTGATACTCTTCCCTAAAGTCTGTGACATCAAAATATTTCCATTTAAATGCCAAAATATGATCTGCCTTTTTTATTGTGTAGATATTGGCATATGGCAGAAAATCAATGAGGATTAAAAATGCTGGCACCTTAGAAAAAATCAAGGCAGTGGTACTAAACTGCTAATAGTCATTATGTTATTTACTGTCACACATATGCAAGTAGAAACAAGCCAGTTATACCGGAAAACATTCTTGATGAAGCGGTAAAGACTATCAAGGCTATTAAATCTAAATCCCTGAATACACAACTTTTTAATAATTTTTTGATAAAATGGGAAGTGTACATAAAGCACCTTTGTTGCATACTAAAGTATGATGGTTTTCTCCAGAAAAAGCAGTTGTATGATTGTTTGAAGTAAAAGATGTTAGCCATTTTGAAACCTAAACAACACATTGTTTTATTTGAAAGCATGAGAGAAAAATCATGGTCATTTAGACAGGTATTTGGTAGACTTTTTCTCAAAAATAGAGGAAGCAAGACATCAGTGAAAAAAAAATGACAGTATTTATCAAAAATATTTGTTATTTGGTCTCACTCTGTAGCCCAGGCTCGAGTGCAGTGGCATGATCACTGCTCACTTCAACCTCAACTTCCTGGGCTCAAGTAATCCTTCCACCTCAGCCTCCCAAGTAGCTGGGACCACAGGCAAGTGCTACCACGTCTGGCTTATTTTATTTTATTTTTTACTTTATTTTATTTTGAGAGAAAACATTTCTTTATGTTGCCTAGGCTAGTCTCAGACTCCTGGGCTCAAGAGATCCACCCTCCTGGGCCTCCCAAAGTGCTAGGATTACAGGCATGAGACACCACGCCTAGCAGCAAACTTTTTCTAAATGTCAAATTTATTAACATTGTCTAAAATTTCACATTGAAACTACCTTATCTATTGCAACTAACACTTACCAAGTTTTGGTAAAGTATTAAAGGGGAATATCCACAATTTTCTAAAAAAGTTATTAGAATAATACTTTTTCCAACTATATATCTGTGTGAGGCTGGAGTTTCTTTATATATTTAAAGTAAAACAACATACGGAAAAGATTGAATGAAGAAGCACATAAAAGAATCCAGCTGTGTTGTGGTCACACCAAAGAGATGGGATGGGCACTCCACCCAAATGTGGTTTGAATGTTGAGACTAACCATGCCACACATGCACCAAAAAGGTTTGCAAAAATTTATGACATGTATAATGAGGCTCTCTGGAGAGAGCAAGAGTGGCTCCCAAGCAGGTCCAAAAATGAACTGAGAAACCAAGGAGGGGTGAATGGTCATGGCTATTCTTTTATTTAGGGAATTGGGACTGTACCAGAGATTATGGGCTTTGAACTTCCCACTGGTGCCAAAGGGTGAGTGCATATGCTTTCTTATCAGCTTTCCCAGATGTGAGACAAGAGGAGGAAAGAGAAAGATGAAGCTTGAAAGCTGTGAATAGTCACACATTAAAAATAGAATGAGATTGTTCCTTTAAAGTTCTTTTCCATTGTACAAGCTATTCCAAAGATTTGCAAAAATAGTAAAACAATGCCACTCTTATCGCAATTTTTTTGGTTAGAAAAATATAGATTTTATAAAATGTCAGTTATTTATGTTAACATATAATGGGTTTATTATAATCACTTTTAAATAACAATTTTAAAAATAAATTTTAATTAAATTGATATAAAATTAAATTATTAAAAATAAATATTATCGTGATAGAAAAACTAGACGAAGACACTACAAAGCAAAAAACTACAGCCCGATATCCCTGATGAACATAGATACAAAAATCCTCAGCGAAAATTAGCAAACAAAATTTAACATTTCATTAAAAATATCATTCCCCATGATCAAGTAGGATTCACCCCTGGGATACAAGGATAGTTCAACATACAGAAAACTAAAAATGAGATAAACCACAGTAGTAGAATAAAGAACAACTATATCATCATTTCAATAGATGCAGAAAAATCATTTGACAAAATACAAAATATTTTCATGATAAAAACTCTCAACAAATTAGGTATAGAAGGAATGCACCTAAACACAATAGAGGCCGTATATTACAAGCAGCCATCATCATACTCAATAAGGAATATTAAAAGCTTTCTTTCTAAGATCATAAACAAGACAAAGATGTTCACTTTCAGCACTTTTATTCAACAAAACAATGAAGTCCTGGCTAGGGCAATTAGGCAACAGAAAGAAAGTAAAGGCATCCACATTTGCAAAGAAGAAATAAAACTGGACTGGTTTACAGACAACATATTTTTTTTTTTTTTTGAGACTGAGTCTCACTTTATCGCTCAGGCTGGAATGCAGTGGCATGGTCTCAGTTCACTGCAACTTCTGTCTCCCAGGTTCAAACAATTCTCCTTCCTCAGCCTCCCATGTAGCTGGTACCATAGGTGCAAACCACCATGCCTGGCTAATTTTTCTATTTTTAGTAGATATGGGGTTTCACCATGTTGGCCAGGCTGGTCTCGAACTCATGATCTCAGGTGATCTGCCTGCCTCAGCCTCCCAAAGTGCTGGGATTACAGGCATGAACCACCGCACCCAGCCCAGACAACATAATCTTATATCTAGAAAACCTAAAGATTTCACCAAAACACTGGTAGAAATAATTAAATTCAGTAAAGTGACAGGATACAAAATCAGCATACAAAAATAAGTAACATTTCTATATTTTAACAATGAATCATGTGATAAAGGAATCAAGACAACAATCCTATTGATAATAACTACAAAAATAAAATACTTAGGAATAAATTTAACCAAGGAGACGACAGATTTCTAAACTGAAAACTATATAACACGATGAAAGAAATTTCAGAAGACACAAGTAAATGGAAAGATGTCCATGTTCATGGATTGGAAGAATAAACATTGATGACGTGTTCATTATAGCTAAAGTGATCTACAGATTAAAGACAATTCCTATCAAAAAACCAATGGTGCTTTTTATGGAAATAAAAAAAAATCTAATAGTAATGTAGAACCACAAAATACCCCAAATAGCCAAGGAAACTTGACCAAAATGAATAAAACTGGAAGAATCACACTACCTGACTTTAAAATGTCTTACAAAGCTATAGTAACAAAAATAACATGGTACTAGCATAAAAACAGAAATATATACCAATGGAACACAGTAGAGAGATCAGATATAAATCCACACATTTGTGGCCAGGCGAATCTTGACAAAGGTGTCAAAAACACACAATGGGGGAAAGGACAGTTTCTTCAACAAATGGTGTTAGGAAAACTGTATATCCACAGGCAGAAGAACAAAAATAAACCCTTATCTCACACCTTATACAAAAACTGATTCAAAATAAATGAAAGACTTCAATGTAAGTCCAAAAGCAGTTAAATTACTAGACAAAAGCCTAGAGGGTACACTCCATTACATTGGTCTTGGCAAAAATTTTTTATATGACCCTAAAAGCACAATAAACAAAAGTAAAAATAGATAAATGAGATTATATAAAACTAAAAAGCTTCTGCACAGCAAGGGACGACATCAAAGAAATGAAGATAAAATCTAGAGAATGAGAAAAATATTTGTAAATCATACATTTATAAGAGGTTAGTATCCAAAAGATATAAAGAACTCAAACAACCCAATAGCAAGAAAACAAATAACCCGATTTTTTAAAATGGTCAAAAATCTTGAGGAGATGTTTCTCCAAAGAAGACAAACAAATAGTCAATAGATATATGAAAAGGTGCTAAACATCACTAATCATCAGGGAAATGCAAATTAAAACCACAATGAAATATCACCTCACACCTGTTAGAATGAATATTATCAAAAAGACAAAAAATAACAAAGGTTGATGAAGATGCAGAAAAAAAGGAAACTTGCACTCTGTTGGTGGAAATGCAAATTAGTATGGTCATTATGGAAAACAGTATGAAGTTTCCTCAAAAAAATTAAAAGCAGAGCTACGATATGATCCAGCAATCCCACTACTGAGTTTATATCCAAAGGAAATGAAATCAGTATGTCAACAGTCCTGTACTTTTAAAAATGTTTTTACAATAGCCAGGATGTGGAATCAACCTAAGTATCCATCAATGGATGAATGGATAGATAAAATATATAAGCATAAATGTTTTATAATACATATAAAATAAAATATTATTCAGCCATAAAAAGAAGAAAATCCTGTCATTTGTTACATGGATGAACCTGGAGAATATTATCTTAAGTTATATAAGCCAGGCACAGAAAGGCAAATACTGCGTGATCTCATTCTAATGTGGAATCTAAAAATGTTGATCTTATAAAAGTAGAGAGTAAAACGGTGGTTACCAAGAGGTTGGGCAGTGGTGGGAAAGGTGGTTGGGGATATCAGGTGGTTGGTCACAGGTTACAAAATTTCAGTCATATAAGAGCAATTAGTTTAAGAAATCTATTATACAACATAGTGATTAAAGTTAAAAACAAAATATTGAATTCATGAAAAATACTGAGAGTGAATTTTAAGTGTTCTCACCATAATAATGGCAACGATGTGAAGTAATGTATATGTTAACTAGCTTGATACACAATGTGTGTATATACATATATATCAAAACATTACTTTGTTCATGATTAATATATACAATTTTATCTGTCAATTGAAACATATTTTGTTAAATAGAGAAAACACATTTTTCAACTCAGAATTTTAATTTTAATTTTAATATGGGAAATATTAATAAATAAGATTTACAAAATGAAAGATTTTTATAAACTCATTTTTTTGAGATTGAAGAAAGTTCTTGAGATCAAAGCATTTGAATATAATCCTAGATATTTTTAGTGTAACATACTTCCCATAGAATTATTTATCTTTTCCTTTGCTTATCAGTGATATATACCTGTCCGTGAAATGAAATCTCATGTTGAGCCCCTATATATAAAACAAATTTAATATGAAATATTTTGATGGAAGATGAGCTGGGGCCTGTCCTCCTTCTCCCCTTTTGGTAATCTTATGGTTTTATGAAACACTATTTAAAAACAACTGTTTTAGGGTTTCAGAAAATAAAAGTGTTATATGAGCTTGATTGCTTTTTGACAAACTATCTTACCATTTGACTTTATTTTCCAATGAAAGTTTCCATATATTTGGTTTAAGTTAAATTCATCATCATTATATTTTTTTTTCTATTTTTTTATTATACTTTCAGTTCTAGGGTACATGCGCACAACATGCAGGTTTGCTATATATGTATACATGTGGCATGTTGGTGTGCTGCACCCATTAACTCATCATTTATGTTAGGTATATCTCCTAATGCTACCACTCCCCACTCCCCCACCTGACAACAGGCCCCAGTGTGTGATGTTCCCCATCCTGTGTCCAAGTGGTCTCATTGTTCAATTCCCACCTATGAGTGAGAACATGCACTGTTTGGTTTTCTGTCCTTGCGATAGTTTGCTCAGAATGATGGTTTCCAGCTTCATCCATGTCTCAACAAAGGACATGAACTCATCCTTTTTTATGGCTACATAGTATTCCATGGTGTGTATGTGCCACATTTTCTTAATCCAGTCTATCATTGATGGACATTTGAGTTGGTTTCAAGTCTTTGCTATTGTGAGTAGGGTCGCAATAAACATACGTGTGCATGTGTCTTTATAGCAGCATGATTTATAATCCTTTGGGTATATACCCAGTAATGGGATTACTGGGTCACATGGTATTTCTAGTTCTAGATCCTTGAGGAATTGCCACACTGTCTTCCACAATGGTTGAACTAGCTTACACTCCCACCAAGAGTGTAAAAGTGTTCCCGTTTCTCCACATCCTCTCCAGCACCTGTTGTTTCCTGACATTTTAATGATCACCATTCTAAATGGTGTGAGATGCTATCTCATTGTGGTTTTGATTTGCATTTCTCTGACGGCCAGTGATGATGAGCATTTTTTCATGTGTCTTTTGGCTGCATAAATGTCTTCTTTTGAAAAGTGTCTGTTCATATCCTTTTCCCACTTTTTGATAGGGTTGTTTGATTTTTTCTTGTAAATTTGTTTAAGTTCTTTGTAGTTTCTGGATATTAACCCTCTGTCAGATGGGTAGATTGTAAAAATATTCTCCCATTCTGTAGGTTGCCTGTTCACTCTGATGCTAGTTTCTTTTTCCATGCAGAAGCTCTTTAGTTTAATTAGATCCCATTTGTCAATTTTGGCTTTTGTTGCCATTGCTTTTGGTGTTTTAGTCATGAAGGCCTTGCCCATGCCTATGTCCTGAATGGTATTGCCTAGGTTTTCTTCTAGGGTTTTTATGGTTTTAGGTCTAACATGTAAGTCTTTAACCCATCTTGATTTAATTTTTGTATAAGGTGTAAGGAAGGGATCCAGTTTCAGCTTTCTTCATATAGCTAGCCAGTTTTCCCAGCACCATTTATTAAATAGGGAATCCTTTCCCCATTGCTTGTTTTTGTCAGGTTTGTCAAATATCAGATGGTTGTAGATGTGTGGTATTATTTCTGAGGGCTCTATTCTGTTCCATTGGTCTACATCTCTGTTTTGGTACCAGTATCATGCTGTTTTGGTTACTGTAGCCCTGCAGTGTAGTTTGAAGTCAGGTAGCATGATGCCTCCAGCTTTGTTCTTTTGGCTTAGGATTGTCTTGGCAATGCAGTCTCTTTTTTGGTTCCATATGAACTTTAAAGTAGTTTTTTCCAATTCTGTGAAGAAAGTCATTGGTAGCTTGATGGGTATATCATTGAATCTATAATTTACCTTGGGCAGTATGGCCATTTCACAATATTGATTCTTCCTATACTTGAGTATGGAATGTTCTTCCATTTGTTTGTGTCTTCTTTTATTTCATTGAGCAGTGGTTTGTAGTTCTCTTTGAAGAGGTCCTTCACATTCCTTGTAAGTTGGATTCCTAGGTATTTTATTCTCTTTGAAGCAATTGTGAATGGGAGTTCACTCATGATTTGGCTCTCTATTTGTCTGTTATTTGTGTATAGGAATGCTTGTGATTTTTGCACATTGATTTTGTATCCTGAGACTTTGCTGAAGTTGCTTATCAGCTTAAGGAGATTTTGGGCTGAGACGATGGGATTTTCTAAATATACAATCATGTCACCTACAAACAGGGACAATTTGACTTCCTCTTTTCCTAATTGAATACCCTTTATTTCTTTCTCCTGCCTGATTGGCCTGGCCAGAACTTCCAACACTATGTTGAATAGGAGTGGTGAGAGAGGTCATCCCTGTCTTGTGCCCGTTTTCAAAGGGAATGCTTCCAGTTTTTGCCCATTCATTATGATATTGGCTGTGGGTTTGTCATAAATAGCTCCCATTATTTTGAGATACATCCCATCAATACCTAGTTTATTGAGAGTTTTTAGAATGAAGGGCTGTTGAATTTTGTTAAAGGCCTTTTATGCATCTATTGAGATAATCATGTGGTTTTTGTCATTGGTTCTGTTTATATGCTGGGTTACGTTTATTGATTTGTGTATGTTGAACTAGCCTTGCATCACAGGGTTGAAGCCAACTTGATCATGGTGGATAAGCTTTTTGACGTGTTGCTGGATTCTGTTTGTCCGTATTTTAATGAGGATTTTTGCATCGATGTTCATCAGGGATATTGGTCTAAAATTCTCTTTTTTTGTTGTGTCTCTGCCAGGCTTTGGTATCAGGATGATGCTGGCCTCATAAAATGAGTTATGGAGGATTCCCTCTTTTTCTATTGATTGGAATAGTTTCAGAAGGAATGGTACCAGCTCCTCCTTGTACCTCTGGTAGAATTCAGCTGTGAATCCGTCCTGTCCTGGACTTTTTTTGTTGGTAGGCTCTTAATTATTGCCTCAATTTCAGAGCCTGTTATTGGTCTATTCAGGGATTCAACTTCTTCCTGGTTTAGTCTTGGGAGGGTGTATGTGTTCAGGAATTTATCCATTTCTTCTAGATTTTCTAGTTTATTTGCATAGAGGTGTTTATAGTATTCTCTGATGGTAGTTTGTATTTCTGTGGGATCTGTGGCGATATCTCCTTTATCATTTTTTAGTCCATCATTTGATTCTTCTCTCTTTTCTTCTTTATTAGTCTTGCTAGCAGTCTATCAATTTTGTTGATCGTTTTAAAAAACCAGCTCCTGCATTCATTGATTTTTTGAAGGGTTTTTTGTGTCTCTATCTCCTTCAGTTCTGCTCTGATCTTAGTTATTTCTTGTCTTCTGCTAGGTTTTGAATGTGTTTCTCTTGCTTCTCTAGTTCTTTTAATTGTGATGTTAGGGTGTCAATTTTAGATCTTTCCCGCTTTCTCTTGTGGGCATTTGGAGATGATTGGGGAACTCCATGTCTTAATATATTCTTCCCTTCTTCCTGTAATATCTTTATTCCTAACTGCTGAAATCTCAATCAGTCTCCAACAGTGAGAACCCATTCTTTCCTACAATTTGGCAATCTCCTATAATATTTTGTTTACCTACACTTAAGATGCAACAATTCCACTGCTGTTTCACTGTATCCTGTGAATGTATCTAACCATTTACAAAGAATTTGAAGGTACAGGAAAGCTCATTGACACAACGGTTTCAGTTCCAAAAGCGAGAAAAATTATCCTAAATGTATAGTTAACAGAGGACTGCTTAAATAAAATATGGCAGATACATATGGTGGGAAGCTATGTAGAACTTAACCAATAAGACAGATATATAGACATATTATACAGTATATTAAGTGGGTAAATAACATTCTAGAATAGTTTGTACAATATAATTCTTTCTTTACAAATTAAAAACTTACATGAGAAAAATTAACCCATAATCAAAGTTAAAAGACCAATGAAAAACTACTTTTAATAATCTGTACTACGTGCGATAAAGGGCAAATATCCACAACATATAAAGAGTCCTTTAAAAAAATTAAATTTAGGAGGTAATGAAAGAGGGAGGGAAGGTGGAGGATGTGGGTTGAAAAACTATCTATACTATGTTCATTATCTGGATGATGGAACCATCCATACCACAAACCTCCATACAGAGTTTTTGTGCCTATACTCATGACTCGCACCTGTAATCCCAGTACTTTGAGAGACCAAGGTGAGAGGATTGCCTGATCCCAAGAGTTTGAGACCAGCCTGGGAAACATGGGACAATAAATGCATAAATAAATAAATACATAAATATTAGCTTGTTGTGGTGGTAC
The DNA here is from genome assembly GCF_000001405.40 of Homo sapiens. NCBI lineage: Eukaryota > Metazoa > Chordata > Mammalia > Primates > Hominidae > Homo > Homo sapiens. Next base: position 83,365,704 of record NC_000023.11, read on the forward strand.
ATGCCTGTAGTCTCAGCTACTAGGGAGGCTGAAGGGTGAAGATCTCTTGAGCTCTAGAGGCTGAGGCACAGTGAATGCTGATCATGCCACTGCACTCTAGCCTGAGTGACAGAGGAGACTGTAGAGCAATGGCGCAAATGCAGCTCACTGCAGCATCTGCCTCTTGGGCGCAAATGATCCCCCCACCTCAGCCTCCTAAGTAGCTGGGATCATAGGTGTCAGTCACCATGCCTAGCCATTTTAAAAAAACTTAGTAGAGATAGGGTTTCACCATGTTGCCCAAGCTTGTCTTAAACTCCTGGGCTCTAGCGATCTGCCTGCTTGGCATCCCAAAATGCAGGGCTTAGAGGCGTGAGCCACCATTTCCAACCTAAAAAAGTAATTTTAATAAATGGTGTTGGGAAAACTGGCTAGCCATATGCAGAAAACTGAAACTGGACCCCTTCCTTACACCTTATACAAAAAATAACTCAAGATGGACTAAAAATTTAAATATAAGAACTAAAACCATAAAAACTCTAGAAGAAAACCTAGACAATACCATTGAGGACATAAGGCATGGGCAAAGACTTCATGGCTAAAACAACAAAAGCAATTGCAACAAAAGCCAAAATTGACAAATAGGATCTAATTAAACTAAAGAGCTTCTGCACGGCAAGAGAAACTATCATCAGAGTGAACAGGCAACCTACAGAATGGGATAAAATTTTTGCAATCTGTCCATCTGACAAACGGCTAATATCCAGAATCTACAAGGAACTTAAACAAATTTACAAGAAAAAAACAAACAACCCCCATCAAAAAGTGGGTGAAGGATATGAAAATACACTTTTCAAAGAAGACATTTATAGGGCCAACAAACATATGAAAAAAAGGTCATCATCACTGGTCATTAGAAAAATGCAAATCAAAACCACACTGAGATACTCTCTCATGCCAGTTAGAATGGCGCTCATTAAAATGTCAGGAAAAAACAGACGCTGGAGAGGATGTGGAGAAATAAGAACGCTTGTACACTGTTTGTGACAGTGTAAGTTAGTTCAACCATTGTAGAAGACAGTGTGGTGATTCCTCAAGGATCTAGAACTAGAAATACCATTTGACCCAGCCATCCCATTACTGGGTATATACCCAAATGATTAGAAATTATTCTACTATAAAGACACATGCATATGTATGTTTATTGCAGCACTATTCACAATAGCAAAGATTTGGAATCAACTCAAATGCCCATCAATGATAGACTGGATAAAGAAAATGTGGCACATATACACCATGGAATACTATGCAGCCATAGAAAAGAATGAGAATGAGTTCATGTCCTTTGCAGGGACATGGATGAAGCTGGAAACCATAATTCTCAGAAAACTAACACAGGAACAGAAAACCAAACATCACATATTCTCACTCATAAGTGGGAGTTGAATAATGAGAACATATGAGCACAGGGAAGGGAACATCACCCACTGGGACCTGTCAGGAGGTGGGGTGTTCTTCTAGGGCTTTTATGGTTTTGGGTTTTATATTTAAGTCTTTAATCCATCTTGAGTTAATTTTTGTATAAGGTGTAAGGAAGGGGCTAGTTCATTTTTCTGCATATGGCTAGCCAGTTTTCTCAGCACCATTTACTGAATAGGAGATCCTTTCCCCATTGCTTGTTTTTATCAGTTTTGTAGAGGATGTGATTGTTGTAGATGAGTGGTGTTATTTCTCTGGTCTCTGTTCTGCTCTATTGGTCTATATGTCTGTTTTAGTACCAATATCATGCTGTTTTGGTTACTGTAGGCTTGTAGTATAGTTTGAAGTCAGGTAGTGTGATGTTTCCAGCTTTGTTCCTTTTGCTTAGGATTGTATTGGCTTTATGGGTTCCTTTTTTGGTTCCAGATGAAATTTAAAGTAGTTTTTTCTCATTCTATGAAGAATGTCAATGGTAGTTTAATGGGAATAGCATTGAATCTTTAAATTACTTTGGGCATTATGGCCATTTTCACAATACTAATTCTTCGTATTCATGAGGAAGGCATGTTTTTCCATTTGTTTGTGTCCTCTCTTATTTCCTTGATCAGTGGTTTGTAATTCTCCTTGAAGAGGTCTTTCACATTCCTTGTTTGCTGTATTCCTAGGTATTTTATTCTTCTTTTAGCGACTGTGAATGGGATTTCATTTATGATTTGGCTTTCTGCTTGCCTATTTTTGGTGTATAGGAATGCTTGTGTTTTGAACACTGATTTTGTATCCTGAGACTACGCTGAAGTTGCATATCACTTCAAGAAGATTTGGGCTGAGATTATGGATTTTTCTAAATAAAAATCATGTTGTGTGCAAACAGAAGCAACTTTCATTACATAATGGTAAAGGGAACGATTCTAGAAGAAGAGCTAACTATTCTAAATATATACGCACCAAATACAGGAGAACTCAGATTCATAAAACATGTTCTTAGAGACCTACAAAGAGACTTAAACTTCCAGACAATAATAGTGGAAGACTTTAACACCCCACTGTCAATGTTAGATGGATCAATGAGACAGAAAATTAACAAGGATATTCAGGACTTGAACTCAGCTCTGGATCAAGTGGACCTAGTAGACTCTACAGAACTGTCTACCCCAAGTCAACAGAATATTCATCCTTCTCAGTGCCACATGGCACTTATTCTAAAATCGACCACATAATTGGAAGTAAAATACTCCTCAGCAAATGCAGAAGAACTTACATCATAACAAACAGTCTCTCAGACCACAGTGCAATCAAATTAGAACTCAGGATTAAGAAACTCACTCAAAAGCACACAATTTCATGGAAATTGAGCAACCTGCTCCTGAATGACTCCTGGCTAAATAATGAAATTAAGGCAGAAATCAAGAAGTTCTTTGAAACCAATGAGAACAAAGACACAATGTACCAGAATTTCTGGGACACAGCTAAAGCACTATTAAAAGGGAAATTTATAGTACTAAATGCCCACATCAGGAAGTTAGATCTAAAATCGACACCCAAACATCACAATTAAAAGAGCTAGAGAGGCAAGGGCAAACTAATCCAAAAGCTAGCAGAAGGCAAGAAATAACTAAGATCAGAGAAAAATTGAAGCAGATGGAGACATGAAAAACCCTCCAAAAAGTCAACAAATCCAGGAGCTGTGTTTTTTTTAAAAATTAACAATCTAACAAAAATTAGCAGTCTAGATAGACTGCTAGCTAGACTAATAAAGAAGAAGAGAAAGAAGAATCAAGTATACACAATAAAAAATGATAAAGGTAATATCACCACCGACCCAGCAGAAATACAAACTACCATCAGAGAATACTATAACACCTCTATGCATGTAAACTAGAAAATCTAGAAGAAATGAATGAACTGCTGGACCCATACAACCTACCAAGACTTAACCAGGAAGAAGTCAAATCCCTGAATAGACCAATAAGAAGCTCTGAAATTGAGGCAGCAATTAATACCTACCAACCACAAAAAGACCAAGACCAGGCAGATTCACAGCTGAATTCTACCAGAAATACATAGAGGAGCTGGTATCATCCTGACACCAAAACTCATTACCGTGGGGAGGACCCCAAAACATTCATGAAGGACCCAAGCAACTCTGTCTGAATTCCACCTTCAACATTATTAAGGATTACATTTCAACATGAGGTTGGAATGAAGGTTATCCTATGTTCATGGAATAAAAGACTTAATACCATTAAGATGTCGATACTACCCAAAACAATCTACAGATTTAAGGTAATTGATATCAAAATACCAACGCTGTTTTTTTCAAAAATAGAAAAATCTCCATCTTAAAATTCACATGGAATCTCAAAGGAGTCTAAATAATCAAAGAAATATTGGAGAACAAAACTGAAGTTCTCACACTTCCTGATATCCAAAGTTTTTACAAAACTACAGTATGCAAGACATTGTGGTCCTAGTGTAAAGACAGACACATAGACCAATGGAAAGTAACAGATATCCCAGAAATGCATCTTTCCATATATGGTCAAATGATTTTTGACAAGGTTGCCGAGATCATTTAATGGGGAAAGGAGACTGTTGAGAAAACTGGATGTATAAATGCAAAAGAATAAAGTTCCATCCTTATCTTACAATATACAAAAATTAAGTCAAAAAAAAAAACCTTAAACGTAAGAGCTAAAGCTATAAAACTCAGATTTACGCAAAGGGGGAAAAATTTACATAACTGAATTTGGCAATGATTTCTCAGATATGACACCAAAAGCACAAGCAACAAGAGCAAAAAATAGCCAAACTGAAATACAACAAAATTAAAAAATTGTTTACATCAAAGGACACAATCAATACAGTGAAAAGGCCACCTACAAAATGAGAGACAATGTTTGAAAATCGTGTATCTGTTAAGGGATAATACTCAGAACATATAGAATGCTCCTGCAATTCAAGAACAACAGCATAACAATCTATTTTAAAACTGGGCAATATATTTTAATCAATATATATCTGAAGACAATATACAAATAACCACAATGAAAAGATGCTCAACATTACTGATTTAGGATGGCAAATATAATAAAAATTAATAGTAATAATAATAATGGAGGGATTGCTGAGTCCTGTGGTAGGTCTATTTTTACTTTCTTCAGGAATCTTTATACTGCTTTCCACAATGGCTACACCAATCTACATTCCCACCAACATTACCACTGTACAAGGGTTGTTTTTTCACCACACCCCTGCCAACACTTGTTATCTTGTCTTTTCGATAATAGCCATCCTAACAGCAGTGAGGTATTATCTCGTTGTGGTTTTGGTTTGCATTCCCCTTATTATTATTGATGTTAAGTATATTTTTATTTATCTGTCAGCCATTTTTATGTATTCTTTGGAGAAATATATAGTCTGGATCTTTGTTTATTTTTATTTGGGTTATTACCTTTTTTTTGCTATTGATTTGTGTGAGTTCCTTCTATCTTTCGGAAATTAATCCCCTACTAATTATATAGTCCACAAATATTTTTCCCATTATTTAGGCTACTTTCTTAATTTGTTGATTGTTTTCTTTACTGGGCAGAAGTGTTTGTTTTTAGTTTGACAAGTTTATACTTGTTTATTTTTGTTTTTGTACCTGTATTTTTGCTGTCCTGTCCAAAAATTTATTGTCGAGATCAATGTCAAGAAGTTGTTTGCTGTGTTTTAATCAAGAAGTGTTGCAGTTTTAGGTCTTACGTTTAGTTATTTAATCCCATTTTAGTTGATTTTTGGTTATAGTGTAAGATAAAGCTGCAATTTTATTATTTTGCATGTGGATATTCAGTTTTTTCATCATCGTTTGCTGAAGAGATTAGCTTTTCCCTTCTGTGTCTTCTTGCTGCCCTCGTCAATAACTAGTTGACAATATATGCTTAGGTTTATTTCTTGGCTCTCTATTCTGTTCTATTGGTCTATGTGTTCATTTTTATGCTAGCACCACACTATTTTGATTACTATAACTTTGTAGTATGAATTGAAATAAAGAAGTGTGATGCCTCCACCCTTGTTCTTTCTTAGAATTGTTTTGGCTTTTCTGGGCCTTTTATGTTTCCATACAAATTTTAGAACTTTTTTTTCTATTTCTGTAAAAAAATTCATTGGAATTTTGACATGGGTTGTATTGCATCTGTATATCACCTTGGCTAGTGCCTTAGTTCAATTGTGCTGCTATAACAAAATATGTGAGACTGAGTAATTTATAAACATCAGAAATTTATTTCTCACAATTCTGGAGGATGAAAAGTCTAAAACCAAGGTGCTGGCAGTTTTTGCCTCCGTTCAAGGCCTACTTTTCATATATGACACCATCTAAGTGTCCTCACATGGCAGAAAGGATGGAAGAGCAAAAAAGAACAAATGGTGTGTCCTCACATGGCAGAAAGGATGGAAGAGCAAAAAAGAACAAATGGTGTGTCCTCACATG